>NC_000006.12:3999393-4150909 GCF_000001405.40 Homo sapiens
ATCTGAAAAATTATATGGGTGTGTTAGAAATGGATTAGTGAAGAAAGAACATGAAGAAATATAAAAGAACAGTATGGGAGGATGGTGAAGTCTAAAATACTATTGTCTTAAAGGAAAAAGTTTTTCATATTCAAAAGAGGAATGGATTGAATGTCTCAATTTAAAGTGACATCAAGCAATTCCAAATAAATGCCATGGTTTCTGGTCTATAGAGAAGGAAAAGTCTACATTCAAGTATGCTTGGTGTATAAATTAAGATTTTCATATGTCAAACCACTGTTCTAGTAAATATATATTATTACATTAATGCAGTGATAATTCCAGACACCAATTTCCCATGAGAGCCTATGGCTTCCTGAAGACATAACATGTCAAAGAAGTCTGTCGGAAGACTTAAAAATATACACACATATATATATTTAACAGAAAAATACTTTCTAATAAGCACACGAAATATTACCAACAATGTGGTATGATACATTTAAGAATGATATCCAAAATTTTAACCATTGGTATGGGCACTGATCAATCAGAAAGCAGGCTGGCCACACTACTATAGCAGGATCCTAGAGGCCCCAGATGGGACAGGCGTTAACCCTTTAGTTGCTGGGGAGTGTGATGGGGGGGAGGTCCAGTGGGAAGGCATTCAGAGGGCTCAGGGCAGCACCATTTACTAACCAGTATGGAAGTCTTTCCATATTTTAGCAACCAGCATGGCTATTCCAGCAGCCTTGAAGATACTAGCAGAGCATCAGCCCTGAGTGTGTCCACATAATACTCTGCAGGCACTATGTCTATTAATATGTAATGGCATCGAGTCATCCATGATACATTATTACATGAATGAGGTAGATTACATAACAGTGTGCATATTCTGATCCTTTTTAGTTCGTTGGCATGTGTGCAGGAAAAGATGGGAGTGAGAAGATTCATAGCCTCCAGTAGGATTGTGGGAGATTTTTATTTTTTCTTATTATATTTTCTAAACTTCTCACATATAAACACAAGTTAAAATGTTATGCTTAGAATACAGTATTATACTATTTTTGAAATTATGATGACTGGTACAAAAATATGAAAAGGGGAGTATTTACCAGTAAAGAAGCTCTGATCCAAAGAAAGCAAGAATGTGTAATTATTCTCCCTATTTTCATTACAAATAATAACACCCTCATAGAATATAGCACTGTACTCTTACATCAACTCATTAAGACACTAGGATCTGAATAAACCCTGTAGAATCATGGGATTTTACACCAAGAAAGACTCTTAGACGATCACATCTGTGTTGTGGTCAGGCAGGCTTCTGTTCAGACATACCTGGAAGTGTATGAATCCTGCCTTCTGCTGGCTTTGTTAAAATTCAAAGATCTGCCTTTAACTGACAATACATGATATTTCTACTCTAGAGTCCTGACGGAATCAATCAAATTCTTTGCTAGTCTATCCTTATCAAAAGATTAGCCTCAAAACACATACTCATGGAGGATTGCTCAGAAGAATAGAGTCCATGCGTTCACTGAATCGATGTATAATCTATCCTTGGATCATGCCATACAATGAAAGAGTCACATATCAGAAATCATAAGATAATGGTTTCAGCAGGGCGTGATGGCTCATGTCTGTAATCTCAACACTTTGGGGGACCGAGGTAGGAAGATTGATTGCCTAAGGCCAGGAGTTTGAGACCAGCCTGGGCAACATAGCAAGACCTTGTCTCTACAAAAAATAATAAAAAAAAAATTAGCCAGGCATGGTTGTGTGTGCCTGTAGTCTTGGCTAGTTGGGAGGCTGAGGCAGGAGGATCCCTTGAGCCCAGCAGTTTCAGGATACAGTGAGCCACTGCACTCCAGCCTGGCTGACAGAGCAAGACACTGTCTCAAAACAGTAATAATAATAATAATAATGGTTTCTCATATATTTGTCATGTGAAAAAAAAAGCTTCATACTATTTTAGGGGGCAGTTTTGAAACATAGTGTTCACAACATTGTATGGCATCAATTTTATAAATATCTGAAGTTTTTTTCCAGGCCCAACTTCTGAGGAAGGTGCACTTCCGCTGAGTAACTGCTTTGCTTTTATCATATGTATCCTAAGTCTTGAAAATAACCATGCTTCCTTTTTTCTGTTTGACTGCTGGGAAGCTCTAAAACAATTTGGAGCCTATCTTATGACATGTATTTTGTGTATTAACCTTAGTATGTGGCTTGTAATAGCACATTGGTTCAGGGCATGAAATCCAGAGCTCCATAATTTACTAGCCATGTGAACTTTGGGGAGTCACTTAACTCTCTGTGACTGAGATTTCTCAACTGTTAAATGGGATAATACCTATGTAATGGGATTGTTTTGAGAACTAAGTAAAGAAATGTAAAGCACTGTGCCTAGTAAACACTATTACTAATCTACTTTTTTTTTCCTGTGAAGAAACTGATACTGACCACACAGATCATCTCTTTCCAATAAGTAAGGTAGCTGTCTTTTTTTTTTTTTGAGACGGAGTCTCGCTCTTTTGCCCAGGTTGGAGTGCAGTGGCACGATCTCTGCTCACTGCAAGCTCCGCCTCCCGGATTCATGCCATTCTCCTGCCTCAGCCTCCCGAGTAGCTGGAACTACAGGCGCCCAACACCGCGCCCGGCTAATTTTTTGTATTTTTAGTAGAGATGGGGTTTCACCGTATTAGCCAGGATGGTCTCGATCTAAAGAAGTAAGGTAGCTTTCTAATATCCAACACTCACTCATATTTTTGAAAAGCCAGGGGAAATAACTTTATTTATATCCACTGCATTTGGATATAAGTTTCAAAATTTTTTTCAGAGCTTTCTATTAGCCAAAGGGGTTGGGAGGGGGCGTGGCAGGGAGAAACGCAGATTCATTGTACACACAAATAAAAAAGAACTTGCTCAGGGAAAGTGCAGAAAACGAAGAGTTGATTTTATTTCCTTCCTTCTCTTTCCTCCTCCTTCCCTCTGTCTCCTTTCCCCACATGGCTATATCTTTCTTACTTCCTTTCTTTCCTGCCTAGCATACATGGCAGACACAGATGAAAGCAACAAATCTACTTCATGAGCTACAAAGAATGCAAAAATGACCAGAGAAAAATAACCTGCTTTAATTATTATCATTTTATTACTTCCCATTTATGATAGAGCTCCTTGAATCAACTAATTTTACTAAATTACAAATATAAAATAAACATGTTTTATCATAACCATCACAACTGAAGACATAATGCATTTGTAACAGTTAATGACTTATCCATGAATTTTTCTCCTTTGGAAGCCTGAAGTGGCAAAGAAAGATATACTAAATCTAGTTTCTTCTTTTTTTTTTTTTAAGTATGGATTCCAGCATTGAAAGTAATCTAGTGAAAAATGACCTCCCTAATTTTGCATCAATAGCCAAATCTAAATGGAATTTGAGACAACAAATTTAAAAATGTCTGTTATGCTCAATTATGCTCAACGTGCTGTTGAACACATTGCTGGAGATTACTGTGTCATTTGTGGGCACATGTTTCTACAGGACTTAAATCATTTTTGTAGAGGTGAATAAAATCCAGAAACTTGGATATTTTTAAAAAGTATTTGTCAGCCAGGCGCGGTGGCTCATGCCTGTAATCTCAGCACTTTGGGAGGCCCAGGTGGGCGGATTGCTTAAGTCCAGTAGTTCAAGACCAGCCTGGGCAACATGGTGAAATGCCATCTCTGCAATAAAATACAAAAATTTGCTGGGTGTGGTGGCACAAGGCTGTAGTTCCAGCTCCTCGGGAGGCTGGGGCGGGAAGATCTCTGAGCCCAACAGGCGGAGGTTGCAGTGAGCTGAGATCATGCCACTGCATTCCAGTTTGGGCAACAGAGTGAGACTCTGCCTCAAATTAAAAAAAAAAAAAGTATTTGTCAAACATCATTGAACAAAAGTTACAACAAAAGAGTTATTAATCAGCAAACTCCTTTAAAATTTACACTTCCAATGCATTCTTCATATTATAGTTACCTATACCTTCTTCATTTTATAGTTAAGACAGTTTACAACAAACTTATCTAGTGATTGTAGACAAGAGGCTTGAGAATATACATTAAGAACAAAAGGAATGAAAACAGAGAAGGGTTTCCAAGTGATGCAAAAAATGAACTGTGCTAGACAAATATAAATGTCCAGATCCCACTTCAAGAAAGGATTTGCTGCCCAGCTGCAAAGATGGAGTTAGCTGCCAGCAACTTCAGTGTCTGCTTCAGCTGCAGAAAGCTACCTTGCTCAGGGCAGCCCACATCAGGCCACTGAGTAAGGAGTGGGTTGAAAAGCATGGCCACTTCTACAAGATATGGGATAACTCTGACAAACAATACGAACCCCAGAGAGACATCTGTGGGCCAGCATCACAGCTCTACTTCTTGCTCTCCCCAATCCTACTTCTTCACTTCTCCTTTTAAAGGTGATGATCCCTGAAAATAATCTTATATTCCAAACTCAGTGTCTGTTTATGGAAAACCTAACCTGTGACAGTGGTCCATTTTATATTACTAAGTAGGAAAAGGAAGCTCTAAAATAGTATGTGTCATATAAAGTGGTCCCAGTTTTAAAAAAATGAACATTGACATACACATAGGAAAAAGTATTAAACAATTTTACACTAAATTTTAACTGTAGTTAACACTGGAAGAGTAGGATCATGGGGAAGTTTCTCCTACTTTATACCTTTGGAAAAGACAGAGGCATAGTTAGATGTAGACAACCTGAGTTTCAATTTTCAGGTATAGATATTAACTCCATGAATATGTATTCACTTGGGATAGGTTAAATTATGCTGTGGTAACACACTTTCCCTAAAACAACAAACGCTTATTTCTCATTGGTGTTTTGGTCTATGTTCTACATTTCTTCATTCTGATATCCTGGCTGATAGAGAATGTCCATCTGCCAGTCTCATGGCAGAAGGAACAGGTAACACAGTGAGCATGTGCTGCCTCATAAAACTTCTGCTCAGAAATGCCACACAGAATTTCCACTCATGTATCGGTTCCTTAAATCAAGTTACATGATGTTGCCTGAATTCAAGTAAACAGGAATGAATAATCCTCCTGTAGGGAAGAGCACAGAATACAGTCGAAAAGTAACACAATCAACCACAGAATTTAAACAAATTACTCATCACACCTATTTCTTAATCTGTTAAGTGCAGATAACAGTACGATCTCAGCTGGTGAAAAGGAATGGAGAATACAGCCATCCTTTGGTATCTGTAAGAGATTGGTTCCAGGACCTCCCAAGAATACCAAAATTTGCAGATACCCAAATCCTTGGATGCTCAAATCTCTGATATAAAATGGCATAGTATGTGCATATAACCTATGCACATCCTCCAGTATATTTTAAATAATCTCTAGATTACTTATAATACCTAATACAGTATAAATGCTATGTAAATAGTTATACTGTATTGTTTAAGGAATGACAAGAAAAGAAGTATGTACATGTTCAGTACAGATGCCATTTTCCCCCCAGATATTTTAGAGCCACAGTTGGTTGAATCCACAAATCTGGAACCCAGGGAAACAGAAGGCTGACTATACTTACAAGCATTTATCCCACTGGATGATATGTAATAAGCACCAAGTGTTTATTACTATACATATTTTTACTTTAAAATTTTTATGAGTATGTGTTACTTTTATAATTTATTCTGCAAGTATTTACCAAGCATCTCTGTATCAAGCACCTTTCAAGGCTGTGCAAACAAAAGAGATGAAATCTCTGCCATCCACTGAAGGCAGGATAGATAGAGGCAGGCAGACAATCTGAACAAAATGAGCTTTCCAGGAAGGTGCAAAACTGGAGGCAGAGATACCTGGCAACACTGAGCACTGAAATCTCCTTTCTTTTGCCTGATTGCATTTATATGAAAGGTCCAGAACAGGCAAATCTGTAGAGACAGAAAGTAGATTAGTGGCTGCCTAGGGCTGGGTGGGCGGATGGGAACAAAGGGGTTGGGAGCAGATGGGGAGTGAATGACTGCTCATGAGTCCAGAGTTGCTTTTTGAAGTAATAAAAATATGCTAAAATTGATCATGGTGATTGTTACACAACTCTGTGAATATACTAAAAACCACTGAATTAAAAGTAAAGGCAGTAATTAAAATTCTAGGGGTTTTTTTTTTTTTTTTTTTTGAGGCAGAGTCTTGCTCTGTCTCCCAGGCTGGAGTGCAGTGGCGCAATCTTGGCTCACTGCAAGCTCCGCCCCCCCAGGGTTCACGCCATTCCCCTGCCTCAGCCTCCCGAGTAGCTGGGAATACGGGCGCCCACCACCACGCCCGGCTGATTTTTTGTATTTTTAGTAAAGACGGGGTTTCGCCGTGTTAGCCAGGATGGTCTCGATCCCCTGACCTCGTGATCTGCCTGCCTCGGCCTCCCAAAGTGCTGGGATTACAGGGGTGAGCCAGCGCACCCGGCCAGGTTTTTTTTTTTTTTTTTTTTTTTTTTTTTTTTTTTTTTACTTTTTACAGTTAAAGTCTTTTTATAAAATAAAGTATATTTTCTATGACTTAGTATCACTAGTTTTTTAAAGTATATTTTCTATGACTTAGTATCACTAGTTTTTTATAACTATCAAACTTGACCTTGAAAGAAAATTTGGTATCTACTTAATAGCTAAAAGTTATGAAAAAAGTAAACATTACCAAGTTAGATTTATCCAAGGAATACAAGGATAGGCTTAGTATGAGAAAAATCTATAAATCTGACCCATTATAATAACAGATAGAGAAAAATCATAATTATTCTAATAAATGCAGAGAAAGCATTTGATAAAATTCAACATTAAATTCATAATAAAAGGTCTTAGAAAAAATAAAAGAGATTTCCATAGAGCGTATCTAAGTAACCTACAGTAAACATCATCCTAAATGAAAAGATAATAAAAGCATTCCGATTTACAAATCAAAAAATAAATAATACTAAATTAAAGGTTCTAATAGCACATGAAATAATAAACTGAATTCAAAATGATGCAGAAGAATAAACAAATCTAACTTTATTTTTAGATATGATCATTTTTGTAGAAAACCAAAAAAAGTACAATTTATTAGAAATAAGAGAATTTAAGGTGAATATAAGATTATTGTCAAATACATTTCTTTATACCAATGACAAATACCTGAAAATGTAATTAAAAAGAAGACAGCATTTTCAATAATCTTAGAGAATACCAAGTACCTAGGAGTAAATATAATAACAAATATGTAAGATCTCTAAGTAAAAACTACAAAAAGACATTAGGAGACATTAAATAAAGACCTGAATAAATGGAGAAATATACCATGTTTGTGCATAAGAAGATTCAATATTGTAATTAGTTGACCTATAGATTTAACAAAATTACAATCAAAATTCCAACAGATCTTTTTCTTGCATCATGTAAAGCTAATTCTTTAAAAAAGCATGAACAATAAGGATTTTTTTTAAAGTCAGGAAATTTCTGAAGACACTAGAGGAAGCTGCCCTATCAGACATAAAGACTTACTGTGAAGCTGTGGTAATTAAGGCATAATAAAACAAATTGGACAAATTAACTGAATTAAATAGGAAACTACAACAGACCCACACATTTATGGGACTTTGGCTATGCCAGAAGAAACACATGATATTGATGGGAAAATTAGGAACTATTCAATAAGTGGAGGTGGAAAAAATGATTATGCATGTAGTTAAAGGCGAAAATTAGAGTTCTGTATCATACAAGATATAAGATCCAAATCCAAATGTATTAAAAACTATAATGTCAAAAACAAAACTTAAATTCTCTTAGTAGAAAGCACACATGAAAATATTTTAGATTAATGGAAGAATTTTAAAAATTTAAACAATACAAAAAAAGCACTAACTATAAAATACAAATGATATACATTGACTTTTAAAATTAAAAAATTTTTGGCTGGGAGTGGTGGCTCACGCCCGCAATCTCAGCACTTTGGGAGGCCACGGGGGCGGATCACAAGGTCAGGAGTTTGAGACCAGCCTGGCAAACATGGTGAAATCCCGTCTCTACTAAAAATACAAAAAATTAGCCGGGCATGGTGGCCCATGCCTGTAATCCTAGCTACTCGGGAGGCTGAGGCAGGAGAATTGCTTGAACCCAGGAGGCATAGGTTGCAGTGAGGCAAGATCACGCCATTGCACTCCAGCCTGGGTGACAGAGCAAAGCTCTGTCTCAGGAAAAAAAAAAAAAAAAAAATTAAAAATTTTTTGTTCATCAAAATGTATTTTCAGGCCAGGCGTGCTGGCTCATGCTTGTAATCCCAACACTCTGGGAGGCCGAGGCGGCTGGATCACCTGAGGTCAGGAGTTTGAGACCACCCTGGCCAACATGGTGAAATCCCATCTCTACTAAAAATACAAAAATTAGCCAGGCATGGTGGCAGGCCTCTGTAATCCCAGCTACTCAGGAGGCTGAGGCAGGAGAATTGCCTGAACCTGGGAGGCAGAGGTTGCAGTGAGCCAAAATCGCGCCACTGCACTCCAGCCTGGGCAACGTAGCCAGGATCTGTCTCGGGGGACAGGGAAATAAATTTAACAGTGTATATTTAATTGGTTTGATAAATTGTACGAGCAAATAATTGGTCAGTACATAGATATATATGTTAGTTAACTAAAAATACTAAGTAGTTACAGAAAGTAATGACCTATATTTTCCTTTATGAGACTCTTTTTAATAAGAGTTTAACTTAAATAAATACAATACACCTAAGGCTAGTATAGGGTGGTTTTTCTAGCTCCACCTTTTAACTGTTCTTAGCCTCTTCAGGACACAAATTTTATTTTGTTTATTAAAACCATGTGAAGTGGCATTGTTACTATCCCTTGCCCTCCTTTTTATAAAAAATTGAGGAAGAAACTGAGGCTCAGAAAGACTGAGTAGTCTTTCTAGACCACGAAGCTAGTTAAGTTATGGTTCCAGGATTTAAAGCCTGACAACTGACCCCAGGATCAACATTTAATCACTAGGCTATCACTGTGATGTGAGATAATCTATGTACTAAAAAGCCATATCAGACCATATAAAAGACAGGCTAGACAGTAAGTAAACTTGTAACCATGCCCTCTGTTTGCCCTTACTCTGAGAAGATTTCTATTAAGTTTGCAATATGAGGCAATCTCTGCTATGACTTCATGATAAGGAAAAAATCATGCTGGTCCTTTGCTGCCCTCTTATGGAAGATGTACATAGATATACAAAAAATTCCCAGCCAATAACTGCAGTCTAACTTTGCCACCATAACTAAACTATTTCAGGTGTACCTAGCTTTACATGATAGATAAGATTCTAGAACAATGCAACTGGTACATAAAAGGTACTCAGTGAACGTGCAGAACTGCAATGAAAACTTTCTGTCTCTTTGATATGCACTAAGCGCTTGATCTTATAAAAATCCTATGATAAATTATTTAAATGGCAAATCGCCCTCCAATTTAATTGTTGTGGTATACAGATTTATATATATCATATTTATTTAACATTATAAAATGTTATCATGTGGCCAATTTATTCACAATAAAGGTATGAATAAAATAATAATCTAAAAATGTCAGTTTAATCACTTGTTTCAAGCAACTTTGTCTCTTTTTAAGGCCAAAATCTAACAAATAATCTAAGTGAATGGTTTGAGTTTCTTCTAATTTCTTGCTCTTTATTTAATCTCTGTTTGTTGTGACCATGATTTCTCTTAGAAGAGACTAAGTGTCTTGAACTCTGAGATGGGCCTAAACAATTCAAAACAAAATCTATGAAGAGCATTGCTCGAAGTTTTAATGTAGGGAAATAGTTCTCTCCCTAGCCATTTTGGTTTTGACAAGGCTGTGAACGATTAAACACTAAAACCGATAATCTTATGGAGGCAAAACAGTGAGTGATTTTTGCAACTAAACAGCAATGAAAATTATTTCACTAAGTTATGGATGGTCTTACATGGATGAGCTTATGCAAGAGCACTTCTCCAGGCTCTCTACTAGAATGGAGTGTTTAGATCCTTAGAGTTAGACTTCACCTGGCTCTCTTCACCAGTACAAAAGGCTACATACCTCACTGAGATGTGTGATGTGTATCATTCCTAAATATTGGGTAGCTATTACAGTTTTTTTTTTAAAAGTATCAAAAAATATTGCCTAGATGTAGCTTTATCACAGAACATGCTAATTTTTCAAAGGCTTTCCTAATTCATGTCTTCCTCCCTATTTTCGATATTACACTAGTTCAGGCTCTTACAATTTTACGTTCATCCATCAAACACTGTATTTCTTGAGCACCTACTATTATGTGTAAGCACTGTGTTAGCAGGTAGGCCAGAGTGATAAACAAAAGAGACATGGTCTGATCTCATATAGTTTATAGTCTAATAAGAAAACAAACAAACAGGCCGGGTGCGGTGGTTCACGCCTGTAATCTCAGCACCTTGGGAGGCCAAGACAGGCGGATCACCTGAGGTCGGGAGTTTGCGACCAGCCTGACCAACATGGAAAAACCCTGTCTCTACTAAAAATACAAAATTAGCCAGGATGGTGGCACATGCCTGTAATCCCAGCTACTCGGGAGGCTGAGGCAGAAGAATTGCTTGAACCTGGGAGGTGGAGGTTGTGGTGAGCCGAGATTGCACCATTGCACTCCAGCCTGGTGACAGAGTGAAACTGCGTCTCAAAAAAACAAACAAACAAAACACACAGGAAAAAAAGAGAAACTGACACCAAACAAACAGGCAAATAAATATACTGACAAACAGTCCAACAAGGTTTTATCAGGGAAAATAATAGGATACTTTAAGAAAGTTATAGAAAAAAACAGGTCCTAATTTATCTAGGAACCAGAGGGAAAGCTGTTATTTAGATAAGGGCTATCTGTGAGACGGACATTTAAGCCAACACTTGAAAAATAAGTCATGGTGATCAAGAGGAAGAGTGAGAACAGAGAAATCCAGGCAGTAGAAATATCAAAAACCCTAAGCTTTAATGTAGGAAAAAGCATGGCATGTTTTAGGATTAACACAAGGGCCAGTGTGGCTGAAAGATTAAACTGAAAAATAGGCAAGGTTTAAATAATCAAGGCTTTACAGCCACATTAAGAAGTTTGACTTTTATTTGATTTTTATTCCAAGTAATACAGTACATATATATAATTTCCCAATAAGTATTTTGGAAATTATTTTATTCATGATTTGGAAAATACAATCCTAAGAACAGATCTGCATGATAGAAAGATAATATGTATTCTAGAATTCTGAATCCTTTTTTTTTAATTATTATTTTTATGTATTTATTTTTGAGACAGGTCTCACTCTGTCACCCAGGCTGGGGTGCAGTGGCGCAATGACAGCTCACTGCAACCTTGAACTCCTGGTCTCAAGTGATCCTCCCACTTCAGCCTCCTGAGTAGCTGGGGCTATAGGCATGCTGCACCATGCCCGAATTCTGAATCCTTTACTGGAAACCTCACCTTTCCTCCAGTCACAAGGACCCCCCTGGGCTTCCATACTGCACTCGTCCCACTTCCTGACCTGAGGACACACCCAGCAATACCACTTCCTCTCCTACAGTAAGGCTAGCACTTTCTGGGACCCAAACCTAGCCTAGTTATGACACCTAAACACAAACTAAGCCACAACCTACTTATCCAGTCACAGCCAGTACCAAGGAGCCCTGGACTCTTTCTAACTCTTCCTATGTCAATGGCTGACCAAAGACCAATTGCATTGAAGAAGTTTTATAATATATGATTTACTAACTAAGGCATAACAAAGAAGAATAAACAACCTGTTTTTGAAAGCAAATTCTAAAAGTGAAATTTGCAACTATATGGATATTGTTAGCAAAAATATGTCTATGCTACATTTGTCCCATTTTAAAAAATGAATATGCATTTATTTAGAAAATATCTCCTAAATACATACCGTATCCTAGACATATTTTCAAAATGCAGAAGCACACAGTAGAAACTAAAGTTATTTTTCATTAAAAAGTGCAATTTATATTAGCAAATAATGGGTTTATTGATATTTTAAGTGAATTAATAAAAATTTTTACATTTCTCAATGTTAATAGATTACAACAAGTATTAGCAGGTATTACCTTCATAAATAAAAGCTCTTCGATCATTTTTAAGGCCATAAAGGGGTCCTCAGACCAAAATGTTTGAGAACCACTGTCACTGGTTCAGGAAGAGACTAAAAAGAGGAAAGAAAGTTAGGAAGATGGTTTTGTAGGCATGAATGCCTGTTTTAGTATACCTATAGAGGGAATGAATCACATTTGAGACAATATGAATTAAGGACATTAACATCCCTAAATATTAATAGCTAAAGATTTGTGGTATCTCTCTTATTATATATTCAAAATAAAACAACATTAAGCCATAGAATAAATGTGATGAAATCCAACATATCTCTGAGATTTTCTGATTTCAATGATCTTTTTGAAATATCAAGTAACACAACCTTCCACCCACACCATACATTTTTAGATTCTCTTGTTTTGATGATACCCAAAACGTGCTCATTGTAAATACTAGGCAAACAGGCTCCTTGCTACTCTAAGTGACTTCCATTAACCAGTACCAGCATCCCATGGGAACTTGCTGGAATTGCAAAAGGGAAGACCTCACCCCAGACCTACTAAATCAGAATCCACATTTTAGAAAGATTCCCTAGATGATTTTTACATGCGGTGGACTTTGAGAAACACTGGGCTAACTAATATAGATGCTTAGGAATTCGTTATTGATCAATGTTAGATCCATAGAAAAGAAGAAATTTCAAAGGACTTACAGGATGGATGGTGATTATAACGTTATGAAATGACCCTTTGATAATGTATTCAATTCTCTGGCACATGAAATTGATATTTTATTTGCGATACACATAGTAAAACAAATATATATTCTCCAGCTTTCACAGAATGTATAAAACATAGTAAACAGATTTCCAGGATCTGTGTAATGAATTTTTGGAATCCACGCTTATGTTATTATGCTAAAAATTCATGAGAGAACCTTTGCTTCCTGCTATATAGAACAGCAGGAACCAGACTTAACCTGCTTAATAACTAGAAAACCAGACAAAATATAAAACCAACTGTGTCAGATGCTGGACAACAGATAGCACAGCACTATGATCCCTAGGAGCAGAGAAGCAAATGAAGAGAGCCCTAAAACTACTACAGTTTTTGGCCTGAATGCCATTACAAACTGCAGAAGAGGGAAGAGAATTTCAAGTAGACCACAGTAGTGCAGATAAATTGAGGTATTTAGAGGCTAGTCTTCTGAGAGTCTGAAGTAACTGAAAGTTGCAGGGCAGGGACCTGGAGAGGTGGGAGACAGACAGAAAAAAATGTGAATAGGGGTGTGATTTTACATGAGGCTGCACAAAGAGGAATTACGTGACTATGAGCTGGATGGTTCCAGTATTGCACATACAACTGAATGTGACAAGGACAGACAAGGATGCCCACACTTATCACTTACATTCAACATAGTACTAGAAATCCTAGCCACAGAAATTAGGCAAGGAAAAGAAATAAAAGGCATCCAAATCAGAAAGGAAGAAGTAAAATTGTCTCTGCAGGTGACATCATCCTATATACAGAAAACCCTAAATACGCCACTAAAAACTGTTAGAATGAATAAACGAATCCAGTAAAGTTTCAGGATACAAAATCAACATACAAAAATCAATTACACTTCACTAACAGTGAAGTATCCAAGAAAGAAATTAAGAAAGCAATCCCATTTACAATAGCATCAAAAGGAATAAAATACTTAGGAATAAGTTTTACCAAGGAGGGGAAAGATGTGTATGCTAAAAGCTATAATACATATATGAAAGAACTGGAGATGACACAAATAAATGGAAAGCTATCCCATGTTCAGGATCAGAAGAATCATTATTGTCAAAATGTCTGCAATACACAAAGTAGTCTACAGATTCAACGCAATCTCTAGCAAAACTCCAATGACATTTTTCACAGAAAAAAAAAAAAAATTCCTAACATCCATACAGAACCCAAAAGACCCAGAATATCTAAAATGATCCTGAGCAAGAAGAACAAAGCTGGTGGCATCACACTTCATTTCAAATTATATTACAGACCTACAGTAATCAAAACTGTATGGTACTGGCATAAAAGGAGACATATAGACCAATGGAACAGAATAGGAATCCCAGAAATAAATCCTCGTTTATGTGGCCAACTAATCATCAACAAAGGTGTCAAAAGTACACAATAAAGAAAGGATAGTCTCTTTAATAAATGGTGTTGAAAAAGCTAGATAACCACATGCCAAGAAATGAAATTGGACCCTTATCTTACCCCATCCACAAAAGTCAATTCAAAATGGTTAAAAGAGGCCAGGCGCAGTGGCTCTTGCCTGTAATCCTAGTCCCTTGAGAGGCTGAGGCGGGTGGATCACTTGAGGTCAGGAGTTCAAGACCAGCCTGGTGAAACCCCATTTCTATTAAAAATACAAAAATAAACCGGGCACAGTGGCACATGCCTATAATCCCACCTACTCGGGAGGCTGAGGCAGGAGAATCACTTGAACCCAGGAGGTGGAGGTTGCAGTGAGTCAAGATCATACACCACTGCACTCCAGCCTGGGCAACAGAGGGAGACTCTGTCTCAAAAAAAAAAAAAAGTGAAAAGACTTAAGTGTAAGACATGAAACTGTAAAACTAGAAGAAAACAGTGGAAAAGCTCCATGACATTAGTCTTGGCAATAATTTTGTTTGTTTGTTTTGTAAATGACACCAAAAGCACAGGCAACAAAAGCAAAAATAAGCAAATGGAACTAAACCAAACAAAAAAGCTTCTGCACAGCAAAGGAAACAACAAAATGAAAAGGCAGTCCACGGAATGGGAGAAAATACTGAAAAACCTTTTATCTAACAAGGGGTTAATATCCAAAATATACAAGGAACTCATACAAAGAACTCATGCCTGTAATCCCAGCACTTTTGGGAGGCCAGAGCTGGAGGATCACTTGAGGCCAGGAGTTAGAGACCAGCCTGAGCAACACAGTGAGACTCTGTCTCTATAAAAAATTTAAAAATTAGCTGGGTGTGGTGATGTGTGCTTATAGAGTAATATAGTTACTCAGAAGGCTGAGGTGCAGAAAATACAAATATTAGCCATGCCTGGTGGCATGTGCCTGTAGTCCCAGCTACTCAGGAGGTTGAGGTGGAAGGATCACTTTGAGTCCAGGAGTTTGACGCTACAGTGAGATATATTCATGACACTGCACTCCAGCAGCCTGGGCAACAGAGCAAGACCCTGTTATCCCTCCAAAAAAAAAAAAAAGAAAGAAAAAGAAAACAAAATTACTCCAGATGGTAATGAATCCACAAGAAAAATAAACAAACAACCTGAAATGATAAATAAGGTTACTATAACAAAAGCTACAAATATATATTTGCTTTCCTTTGTTCATTTTCTTTAAATGATGTAAAAGTAATAATTGTAGTAATGTATTGTTGAGTTTGTAACAACTATAACATGTACAACAACAAAACCACAAAAAAACAGGGACATGGAATAAAACTATATTGGAGTAAGGTTTCTATATCTCACTGCAATTGAGTTAGTATAAATCTGAAGCTGATTCTAATAAGTTAAGCTAATTGTACGGTAAGCCCTAGAGCACCACTACAGTCTCTAAAAAAAACTTAAAACAGTGTAAAAAATCATTCAAGAAATTAAAATGCTACATTAGAAGATATTCACTTGATCCAAAACAAAGCAGTAAAGGAGAGACAGGAAAAGAAAAAGACAAGACATAAGGAAAACAAAAATAAGATGGCATACATAAATCCAACTATATCAATAACATTAAATGTGAATGATTAAACAATTGGATCAAAAGGCAGAAATTATCAGATTAAAAAAAACAAGATCCGGCCAGGCACAGTGGCTCATGCCTGTAGTCCCAGCACTTTGGGAGGCCGAGGCAGGTGGATCACAAGGTCAGGAGTTTGAGACCAGCCTGGCCAACATGGTGAAACCCCGTCTCTACTAAAAATACAAAAATTAGCTGGGCGTGGTGGCGGGCCCCTGTAATCCCAGTTACTGGGGAGGCTGAGGTGGGAGAATCGTCTGAACCCGGGAGGTGGAGGTTGCAGTGAGCCCAGATCACGCCATTGTACTCCAGCCAAGGAGGCAGGGCAAGACTCTGTCTCAAAACAAAAAACAAACAAACAAACAAAAAACAAACCAAGATCCAACTATATGTCTACAGGAGACACATTTTAGAGTCAATGATACAAAGCATGTAAATAGTAATCACGTGAGAACTGAAATAGCTACATTAATATCAGACAAAATAGACTTTAAAACAATGTTACTAGAGAAAAAGAGAAACATTTTTAATGATAAAAGGATAAACCCACAAGGAAGATGTAACAATTTACAAGGATAGATGCACCTAGTAACAGAATATATGTAGCAAAAACTGACAGAAATGAAGGGACAAATTGATACCTCAAGAACAGAAGATTAAGTCTTTCATACTCCTGTTCCAACTAGTTAGACTCCACAACAGGTAACATGACTGAAACAGAACTCTATTTAGTTTCCCCCAACTTTCAGTCTCTATCTTGGTAAGTAGCAACTGTATCTGTTTAACTGCCCAAACCAAAATTCTTTAAGTCACTTTCTCTTGAATTCCACATCCCATCAATCAGTGAATCCTATAACTTCTCCCTTCAAAATATATCCAGAACCCAATCATTTTTCCCTACTTACACCCTGATCGAAACTAACACCATCTCTCACAGAGATTACTTAAATACTCTCCTAATTGGATTGCATCTTCCTCCCCTGGTCCCTTGCAGTCTATCTCCATATGGCAGCCAAATGAGCCTTCTAAAACAAATCAGGTCACTCCTCAACCCTGAACTTACTCTGTCCAGTAAACTTTTTTTTCAAAATAATTATTTTTATTTTTATTTTATAGAGATAGGGTTTCCCTATGTTGCCCAGGCTGGCTCGAACTCCTGGGCTTAAGGGATCTTTCCACTTCAGCCTCCCAAAGTGACACAATTACAGGCCTGAGCCACTATGCCCAACCTGTCCAGTACACTTTCAGTGAAATCTAAATCCTACAAACTCCCTTTCCTGCATTACTTCCTACTCCCTTAATCACCCTACTCTCATCGCACTGGCCTCTGCCATTTTCAGCAAGTTGATAAACCCAATTTATAATATAATTCTATTTTTAGAAAACACTACAGGCCCAGCACGGTGGCTCATGCCTGTAATCCCAGCACTTTGGGAGGCTGAGGCGAGTGGATCACGAGGTCAGGAGTTCGAGACCAGCCTGGCCAAGATGGTGAAACCCCGTCTCTACTAAAAATATAAAAATTAGCCGGGCGCAGCGGCGGGCGCCTGTAATCCCAGCTACTCGGGAGGCTGAGGCAGGAGAATTGCTTGAACCCGTGAGGCGGAGGTTGCAGTGAGCCGAGGTCGCACCATTGCACCCTAGCCTGAGCAACAGAGCAAGACTCCGTTTCAAAAAATAAAAATAAAATAAAATAAAATAAAACCACTACATATATATGCATAAAAAAGGATTGCCCAAAATGTGACTATTCACCTACGGTTAGCAGGATTATAAATTTTAATTTTTAAAAAGTTTTTCCTATTGTGAAAAATTATTTCTAATTCATGTGTTACTTATAATAAAGTATATGAAAAGCTGTGTATCAAACACACAATATATTGTATAAAATATATGAAAAGCTGTGGATCAAACCCCATACCCCTACTGTGGTTAATAGTATTTAAGTATATTCAAAATCTGGAAATAAATCATACATGTCACCAAAAAACCACAACAAAAGAAAAATTTGCCTGCAGTAATACAGCATTTACTAACAATACATGCTGCAGGCACTTCCACTCATTATTTCATCTTACTCTCATAATAATTCTATGCAATCAGAACCATTATCCCCATGTTACTGTGTAAAATGAGGCTCAAAAAAGTTAAACTCTTTGAAATTGCACAGTAAGTTGTGAAGCCCAGGTCTGCCTGACTTGAATGCTCACGTTCTAAATACTAATCTAGCTACTGCCTCATCACATAGTAGTTACAAGCAACAGTGCAAAGTTGAAATAACCTAGACATACAATAACAAAGGAAAAAGAGTGTAGTTATAAAAATGCTTACTGAAACTAGAATTATGTATGTAAAAATTGGGAGACATGTTACATGAAAGAGCAAACTATCATATTCTACACGTGAGTACAAGAAAATTTAACATTTCATATGGAAAAAAGCCAAAATAAACCAATATATTCAAGTTGGTTCAGTGTGGGTAATGGAACTCTGGGTGATTTTCATTGTTTTGCTTTGTTATCCTTTGGTTTGCACCAAAATTGCTTCAATACTAACAACAAAAACAACAAAAACAAATTACGTTCTCATAAACTTTGTTTTGTAACAAAGGAAAATTCTGCCCAGTGTTCCAAACACCTCAAAGTTCCAAGTCTAGGTCTAAACCAGAGTCGTTAAGTATTCTCTGAAAAGCGATCTACTCTTAATTGACATCTGGCGACTCTACATGGACCAATGGCTTCCTCCGCAGGATGTTATGATCTTTATTTTGTTTGTAGCCTACGGAAGAATGAGCCTATTAAGAGCTTATTGAGATTGATGATTGCACAGTGTAGCTTGAAAGGTCCAAATTTAATCCGTTTCAACGGGAGGAACAAAATTCAAAACTGTTTTCAAAGTATTTCGAGAATGTGTCCCTTATCTGGAAGTAATACTTAAAACGAAGCAAACAAAGACGGTAAGAGAAAGTCACAAATGCAAGCTCGCGCCCGAAGCCAGCCTCGGGCAGGTACACTTTGGTGTGGTGTGGCGGCGGCAGGGCGCCAAGCGCCGTGGTTTTTACGGTCTCGTCAGCAAGCAGGGCCGACCTCCGCTTTATCGGACAGGACCAACGCAGGATCCGGGGCGCGGCGGCGACAGGGCCCCGAGGCAGATGCCCGAGCTAGAACTCTGGCGCCTACTTACTCCTCGGCCGGCCCGGCTGCTCCGAAAAACGACCTCACAGGAATGGCTGCAAGAGCGCCGCCGCCGGCAGGGGCTGAGGAGAACGAGCCTGGGGCTCCGGGCCCAGAGATGAGACGCTCTGGCTGGGAAGCAAGGAGCATCGGCACCGACGGATAGAGGCCGGTGGCCCTCAGGTTGAGCAGGCGGCTTCGGGGCGGGGAGAGAAGGGACCAAGGCCCACCGCAGGCCTCAGATCCTCCCACGCCTCCCCGCTGCTACCCAACGATGACGCAAGTACGCATGCGCCTCCCCAGCTGCCGCTGGGAAGAGCGCGCTCCCCAGGGCCCCGCCCCCTCCAAGGATTTCCGGGGAGGCGGGTTCCACTGCTGACTTACCGGTTTTACTCCTCTGCTCAAAAGGCGCCTGCCCGAGGCCGCTTTCCGTTGCAAAGGTTCCTGAATTTGGGGAGGAAGAGCAGCAAGACTGAAATATTGGGCATACGTTTGTTGCTTCATAAACGTTTGCTGAATGAATAAACTGATACGCCGATGTTTGCTTTAATTGTAACTCCCCCTGCCGCAGTTCCCAGTCTTTGAAAATTACAACAGCAACATAGTTTTGGGCGTGTCCTTGACAAATGTGTTTCATTCCCCAGGTAGTACCGTGCAAGTGAACTTGGTGAGAATTTTTTCAAGGAAATTTTTGCCAGCATCGATTTTTGAAACTTAGTTTTTACCATGCTCTTTAAAAAAATAAACACTTGGTTTGTTCAAATACCAACTTTAGTCACACAATCTGGCTTCAGCACCTATTGTTCGGGCCCCATATATCGTTCTCCACACTTAGGATGCTTCATCTCCACATAAAGCATAACTGCAAAATACACAGGGCAGAAGGAGACCTGGGAGATAATACTATGGTTGCAGAAATTAAGACCAGCCTGAGCTCTCGACAACAAGAAAGAGACACAGCGAAAACAAGGCATTTATTTATAATAGGCTCTTGCAAGCAAGGAAAAATAAGGCATTTTCTGATTCGAACGTAGTGCTCTATTACCCCTACTCAACAAACATTTGAATGCCAAAGAGCTGTGAGGGTGGATGCTTAACAAGCAGATGCTAAGCGAGGTTATATTTTTGTAGGAAGCAGCCTGATAAGAAAAGAGCAGATTTTCGAGTCAGATTTTAGTTCAAAAATCAGCTTTGTACTTGGGAACTCAATCATAAGCAAATTACCTTACCTCTTAGTGTCGGTTTGTTCATGTGTAAAACGTGTTAATAGTACCTGACCCAATCTCTTGCCTTCAAGTATATCACTCTATTTCCAAGATGAGATCTCTCACAGTTCTACTACGTACACCGTTAATTTTAACATTATTTAAAAATAGTTTACTAAGTTTATTTCATTTATTTATTTGAGACGGCGTTTTTGCTTTTGTTGCCCAGGCTGGAGTGCAATGGCGCGATCTCGGCCTCCCGGGTTCAAGCGATTCTCTTGCCTCAGCCTCCCGAGTAGCTGAGACTACAGGCGCCACCACGCCGGCTAATTTTTTGTATTTTTAGCAGAGACGGAGTTTCGCTATGTTGGCCAGGCTGGACTCGAACTCTTGAGTTCAGGCAATCCGCCCGCCTCGGCCTCCCAAAGTGCTAGAGGATTGCAGGCGTGAGCCACCGCGCCCGGCCCTAACATTTCAAAACGTTTGGAATTCAGGCAACAAGAGACATTTTGTAAGAACATTTAAAACCCTTCTCCCCTGGAAATCAAGAGATATGTATGGAGTCTGGAGATTCCGAACTCAATTTTCTAGGACAAAGGCAAACTCAGATGATTACAAGAATGAAAGTGATCGTCACGCTGCTTCCAGGTTCCAAAGTATGGATAATTTTTTTTTTTTTTTTGAGATGGAATCTTGCTCTGTCGCCCAGGCTGGAGTGCAGTGGCGTGATCTCAGTGCAAACTCCGCCTCTCGGGTTCAAGCGATTCTCCTGCCTCAGCCTCCGGAGTAGCTGGGATTATAGGCGAGCGCCACCACGCCCAGCTAATTTTTTGTATTTTTAATAGAGACGGGGTTTCACCATGTTGGCCAGGCTGGTCTCCAAATCCTGGCCTCAGGTGATCCGCCCGCCTCGGCCTCCCAAGGTGCTGGGATTACAGGGGTGAGCCACAGCGCCAGGCGAGAAATATTTTTTTAAAGAGGAATTAAAGAACCTAATTGGTTTTGAGAGTTCTCCAAGAGCCAGTAAATGTTTTCCCCACAATATTCCATTCTACCCCATTACTGTAGAGTCGTTATAGAAGAAAACAAAATCACATAACGCAACTTGGGCCAAAAAACATTACACGTTCCAATTACGGAAATAACGAACTGAATCGTGTCACCCTTGAACTATGTAAAAGTTGAAAAGATGTTCAGTGTTAAATGTAGTAACAGTTCCACATTAAAAGATATTTACGTTCGAGTTTACAGTATTTAAAAATGCCTTTCTACACACTTTCCCGGGAAGTTAATGCCACTTCAGTTGAGCTGTCTAGCGAGATGGTTAAGCATTTACTGTGTCTCTAACACCGACCAGGGGAAAAATCATCAATTCGTTTGCCCGAGTTTAAGAGAATTTTCACCTAACTTCTAATCTCCACAGCCAATCAGTTCTTGGAACCGCACACCCGATGCCGACATCCCTCTCTTGTTGGCTCCCCTCGTTAGCGGGATTCAATAACTAAACGTCCATTTCTAGCATTGACTGAAGAGCTCAAGCTTGACACTCGACCTCAATCCTTAGCAGCACCGCCCACCATGCTCCCGGAAGCTGCGACACTACGCCCTGCGCTAGTCCCGGGACGTGGGGTTTTATATCCGGATTCTTAGCGCGGACTCAGAACCCAGCTCTTCCCTACACGGTCGGCACATGCGCGGCAGCTCTTTTCCTTCTTCCTCCACTTCCCCTACCCTCCACCGTCCGGGAGCCGCCGCCACCGCCGCCGAGGAGTCAGGAAGTTCAAGATGGCCGCCGCGGAGACCCAGTCGCTACGGGAGCAGCCAGAGTAAGTAGTCTCTGTGAGTGGGCCAGAAGCTGGAGCCCGGGGACTGCCGAGTGGGAGCTGCACGGGGTGGCGGGAAAGTTCGGGCCTAACGGCGAGAGTCAAACTTTGCTTTTTCCGGCGCGATTCGTTGTGGGGTGGGAGGCATGGGGAGCAGGCGGCCTTCGAGCTTCCTTCTCCCAGAGGCCGTGGCTGCTGGGGTGAAGGCGGCCGCGGCCTGCCGCGCGTCGTTGCCCCGGGAGGCGTAGGCGCGAGCGGCCTCTACAGGTCCGGTGCGCGTGGCGGCTGCCGCGGCAGTGAGGTCGCGCTTTCCTATGCCTCTTTTGGGGACCCATCTGAGCTCCCTGGCCGCAGCTCTTAGCGGCATCTGTGTTGGGGACACGAGGGTCAGTGGCAGCAGGCGGGCCAAGCCCTAAGTCTTTTCTTCCTCATGCGGTACCCCCAGTCGTCCTTTTACTGGTGTCAGTTTAGGACCTGAAAGCAGAGAGCGGAGGTGCTGGGGTCACACTCTCTGGCCATCCCAGAGCTAGTCTGTGGCTAGCGGGATACTTGATCTCGTCACCTTGTACTCTTTAGTCCAGCAGTCACCCAGTATTGTTTTGTTTTGTTTTGAGTGCCTACCGGCAGCTTTTTTACCAACTTGCAAACTTGAGGCAAAGTAAGATAGAGTCTTTGGTTTTGAGGCCTGGCATTTTTTTTTTTTTTTTTTTTTTGCCTGAGTTTATAACCCTTCTTTAGGAGGACGAGTGGAAGGAGTAGTGGGAATTGCTAGCTACTGCCAAACCACTTTATGTCTATAATTAAGCTAACATTAAGAATCCATGCGGCCAAATGAAAAATGAAAAAAAAAAAAATACGAGTGTATGCTGCAAAGGTTAACCATTGGTTAACTTAAAGCAGTATTTTGCTGTTCATGTCTATGTTAGGAAAACTCAAACAAGAACCTTAACAGAGAGAATGGATTTTACGGCAATGTTCCTATAGCGACCGTTTTTTTTTTTTGTTTTGTTTTTTGTTTTTTTTTGCATCTGCACTGTCTGATCTGTTTCCAGCCATCTTAGAAAGAGGTATAGTCTCCCAGCAACTTGTGACTGAGCGATAGAAGAAATCTTTGCCACCAGACAACCTGACACTTAATTGCTGTGCATCCAGTTTTGGGCTCCTCAATCATCTGCATTACTCAGCTAGGCAGAGAAACGGAATTTTTAATTAAGGGCTTTTCAAAACTGCTGTATTATTTTTACAATTTGACTTAGCAGAGAACAAATGGATTCTGAAGTTTTAAATTAGCTTTAACCTCTTACTGTTTCTCACCAAGTTCATTGTGTGGCACAATTACAGTGTTTATGCCAGTACCGTGCAGATCTCATGCTATGTGGTTACATTTTCTACTAATCTGAAAAGTTCTGTAATATTATGTCCATTTATTTGATTTTAGGGATGTTTCAGATTCATTTCCAGGAGTGGGTCAGCCATAGTTTATTCACATACTGTATTCAAATAATATTAGACTTAATAATTTCAAAAATACATATTTAGGCCTCTGCTGTATGAGTAACAGAGATAATCTTTAATTTCCCTTCCCTTCCCCACAGAGCACTTGGTGTAAATGGAATATTTGGTCTGTATATGTCTCACTTTCAGTAGTTTGAAAGTATTTAACAAAGAAGATAACCATTTGGTATGAAAGCAAACTATGCCTGGTGCTCATAGTGAGTCCCTGAATATAGTGTCTACAACAGTTCTTTAGAGAACACTGAGTAGTTTACAGTTATATAGAATCTATTCAAAACAGAAAATTTAGAAAGAATAAATATAAGAAGCAGCTTTTAAGCTCCCTGAAGGCTTTAATTCTTTTAACAACCCTATGGAGGTAGATACGTTTATTTTCCTTATTTTAGAGATGATGAAACTGAAACACAGAGAAATTAAGTAACTTGCTCAAGGTCACACTCAGTGGCACACCCATTTAAACTCAGGCAGTCTGGTTCTAAAGCCCTGCTGCTAACTATTGTACTGTCTGGCCTCCCACTATACAATGTGGCTTCTTTTTAAATTGCTTGTCAAGTATGAAATTATTTTTGTTTTTTTCCACTGTCCCAGAAAGATACATTTTTTGATGTGACATGTCTAATTTATTGAGAACTAATTTCTCAAACCTGATTTGGCAAAGCAGAGACCAGAGGGAATGTTTTAAGACTAGTTGGTCTTTTGGACCCATTCTGATTTTTATAGCTACATTAATTCTTTTTGTTCATTTTATTTATTTTTGAAACACGAGCTCTTGTCACCCAGACTGGAGTACAGTAACATTATCATGGCTCATTGTAGCCTCAGCCTCAAGTGATCCTCCTACTCCAGCCTCCGGAGTAGCTGGGACCACAGGCATATGACACCATGCCCAGCTAATTTTTTTTTTTTTGAGACGGAGTTTCACTTTCTCTCCAGGCTAGATTGCAGTGGTGCGATCTTGGCTCACTGAAACCTTGGACTCCCTGGTTCAAGCAGTTCTCCTGCCTCAGCCTCCCGAGTAGCTGGGATTACAGGCACGTACCACCACGCCCAGCTAATTTTTGTATTTTTAGTAGAGATGGGGTTTCACCTTGTTGGCCAGGATGGTCCCGATCTCCTGACCTCGTGATCCGCCCACCTCAGACTCCCAAAGTTCTGGGATTACAGGCGTGAGCTACCGTGCCGAGCCATGCCTAGCTAATTTTTAAGTATTTTTGTAGAGGCAGAGTCTTCCCATGTTGCCCAGGCTGTTCTTGAACTACTGGGCTCAAGTGCTGCAGGTACTAGGGAGTCTGAGGCAGGAGGATCATTTGAGCCTAGGAGTTTGAATCTAGCCCAGGCAACATAGTGAGACCCAGTTTCTTAAAAGATATATACATTTTAACTTGTCAGAGAAATAGGCTTAATTACTTTCCTGGTAAATAGCAGTGGCGTTCACTTTGCTCGCCACTAAAAAAAAATTTAAAGAATTGTCTAGCTTAAAAACGGCTTTATTCATACACAAATTTAAATCAGTCAGTTCTCTGTGTCTCTGTATATTTTGAATGCCTACCAAATAAATTCACTAAGACTATTGTTTGGAAAAAAATGTGAAAGAAGAAGTTAAAATAACACTGGTGGTTGGTGATTGGTGACTATTTTATTTTTTTGAGACCGAGTCTCTGTTGCCCAGGCTGGAGTGCAGTAGCGCAATCTTGGCTCACTGCAACCTCTGCGTCCCAGGTTCAAGTGATTCTCCTGTCTCTGTCTCCCGAGTAGCTGGGATTACAGGCACGCACCACCATGCCGTGCTAATTTTTGTATTTTTAGTAGAGACGGGATTTCACCATATTGGCCAGGCTGGTCTCAAACTCCTGACCTCAGGTGATCCGCCAGTCTCAGCCTCCCAAAAGTGTTGGGATTACAGTCATAAGCCACTGCACCTGACCGTGACTATGTTATTTTAAAGGCGTTCCACGATTTTCATTCATTGTGCTGGGTGCCTCAAGACATGGGTTTTTTAAAAGGTAAAACTTAACAAAACAAATAAATACTGTTAAGCAACCCCATGTTGTCTGCACTTCTCATTCACCTTTGCTTCCAAATAATGTGATCTGAAGAATGTTATCCAATATTCAATAGGTTCTCAATAAATATTTTGTGATAAACCTGTTGTGACCAGGTTGGTATACACATCCACTTGGCTAAATGTGGGATATTAAATTGTAAAATGTTAATGTTAAAGCGTAAATTTATATAAATGAAATATATATGGCCTATATTTATTGTCAGTATAAACTATCCAAGAGGGCCGTTAGGTTTCTTAACAAGAAACCTTTTTCTTGAGCTTTAGAAGAAAGTCGTTGATGATAAAGCTAATTTAGCTGTTTTAGCACAGGCCCATTGTATGTAATACATTATGCCATTGACTCAATGTTTCAAGTTTTCCAGATTGACCTGGTCAGACTTTAGTTGTGATTTGTGACATTTGCATTGAGAGATGAGTTGAGACTGGTAAAGATCCATTGTATGCCTAGCCCCTGTATAAGAAAATGCTATAATTAAGGTTAACCTGATTGTACCGAGCTGGTAGCATTTTTAGCAGGAACCTACTCATTATTTCTTGAGATAATACTCATTAATTTACAATGGAAACTAGTCACTCATGGGAATGACCCTTCTACAGTGATACTGGTCATCATGATGTATTTCTAATTCCCAGAAGCTCTAGGAGCTAGATTTTCTGTTGATAGAAGTTGATTCCTCTATGGGTAGACTCTTAACAATTTTTAATGAAACTCCTAAGATTTTTGTAAATTGTTAGCATTAGAAAAGATAAGGTTCAAAAAACTGATTTTCCTTTGGGAGGGGTTGATGAAATGTAAGTAATTTTGAATATCACGCAGTCAGAAAATAGGTGTGTGCCTACTATGTGTGTGCACTGTGTGAGGCACTGGAGATAAAACTGAGCAAAGCAAAAATCTTAACTTTCAAGTTCTAAGAGTCTATAATAGATAGTGTAAATCAGCTTTAGACAACTTTTATATGCTTTTTGTTTGTTTTTGAGACAGAGTTTTGCTCTTTTTGCACAGGCTGGAGTGCAATGGTGTGATCTCAGCTCACCACAACCTCCGCCTCCTGGGTTCAAGCAGTTCTCCTGCCTCAGCCTCCCGAGTAGCTGGGATTACAGGCATGTGCCACCACGCCCGGCTAATTTTTTTGTATTTTTAGTAGAGATGGGGTTTCTCCATGTTGGTCAGGCTGGTCTTGAACTTCTGACCTCAGGTGATCCACCCGCCTCAGCCTCCCAAAGTGCTAGGATTACAGGTGTGAGCCACTGTGCCCAGCCTTTTTTTTTTTTTTTTGGAGACAGAGTCTTGTTCTGCCACCCAGGCTGGAGTGCAATGGCGCAATCTTGGGTCACTGCAGCCTTCGCCTCCCAGGTTCAAGCACTTCTCCTGCCTCAGCCTCCGGAGTAGCTGGGATTACAGGCATCCGCCATTATGCCCGGCTAGTTTTTTGTATTTTTGTAGAGACAGGGTTTCACCATGTTGGCCAGGCTGGTCTTAAACTCCTGACCTCAAGTGATCTGCCTGCTTGGGCCTCCCAAAGTGCTGGGTTTACAGGTGTGAGCCACCGTGCCCGGCCTTATGTTATTCTATATATATAATTAACACAAACAATACTTACTGAGCACCTGCTATAGATTAGATAATCTAGGCCCTCAGAGATAGAGCAGTGAACTAAAATGAAAATTCTGCTCATATAGTGCTTACATTATGATAGGGAGAGACAAACAAGAATTATATTAGTGGTAACAATTGCTTTGGAGAAAAATGTTAAGCACAGAAGGAGAATATGTGTGCAGTGGAGTGGTTTTGCATTTAAAATGGATTGATCAGGAAAACTTGTTTGAGAAAGTGACGTTTTAGCAAAGACAAGGTAGGCCAAGGTAGCCAGGAATGCATGTATCTGGGGAAAGCATTCCTGGCAGGAGAAACAGGTCCCACGTACCTGAGATGTGAGTATGCCTATTCAAGGAACATGGTGTGGCTGGAGCAGGGTGACCGTGGGAGAAGAGTGTTAGGTTTAGAGTGTGGGGGATGTTGGGGCTGTAAGTATAGGACCTTTTGCTCTGAATAAGGTAGAAAGCAATAAAATTTCACAAAGAGTAGTGACATAATCTGACTTTTAAAGCATCTTAATCAAATGGAAGATCTTTTGACTGACTTGAAATAACAGCCTTCTCACTGGTTTGTTGTATGTGTGACCTTAGGCAAGTCCCTTGAAACTCAAAATTCTCAACTCAAATGGAGAGACATTTCTTGAACACTTAGTGTGACAGCCTTTTATACTATGAACTCATTTAATTTTCATAAGCCTATGATTTGTCAGTACTATTACCCCATTTTTTACAGTTGAGGAAACCGAGGCACAGAAGAGCAACTTGCCTAAGGGCACAATAGCTTTGTCATGTTGGAGGCAGCATTTAAACCAGGTAGTTTGACTCCAGAATCTATGCTCTTTGATGCTGTTCCTAAAAATAACATTCTTATTAGCAGCCCTCTCAGCTCCACAGGATTTTTGTGAATAAATATATTTATCTAGCATCTATACAATAATAATAGCTTATTTGGCGGAGGGGTGGGGGGGTGGGGTGGGGGTTGGTCCGTGCTAGGCACTGTCATAAGCATTTAACATCTATTCACTGTGTAAACTTCATAACACCTTTTCAGGTAGGTACTATTGTTTTCTCCGTCATGTAGATGAAATGCCTGAGGATCACTTGCCAAGACCACACAACTAGTAAGTAATGAAACTGGAATTTGAACCCAGGCAGTCTGGCTCCAGAGACTGCTTAACCACTCAGCTGTCCTTTGTCTTGAGGACAGTCTTGAGTTAAAACTCAAAACTTTAGGTAATTTTGAATTTGAGCTTAGTGACTAGAATTTTGTACTTTGGGCACTTAGATTTTATACGCCTAAAGATCATTCTCAATCTTTAAAGACTCTCCTACCTTCATAACTTGAATTAGCCTAAATTTTTCTCAGACTTTTCCCCCTATAAGTCAAGGTTCAGGAAAAAAAAGACCTTCTGGATTATGGGATGGGAGATTTCTGGGGACAAAGGATGAGAATATAGCCTATATAAAGAACAAAGTTGAAATGTCTTGGAATCTTTTTACTGAAATCTATGTGACTTCTTTCCCTTCCATAATAAAACAATGATGGTGTTTTGTTTTTTGTGTGTGTTTGAGATAGGGTCTTCCTTTGTTGCCCAGGCTGGAGTGCAGTGCATGATCATGACTCACTGCAGCCTTTAACTCCTGGGCTCAAGTGATCCCCTCCTGGGTTCAAGTGATCCTACCTCAGCCTTTTGAGTAACTGGGACTACAAGCACATGCTGCCATACCCAGTTAATTTAAATTTTTTTGTAGAGATAGGATCTCACCATGGTCCCCAGGCTGGCCTTGAACTCCTGGGCTCAAGGAATCCTCCCACTTCAGCCTCCCAAAGTGTGGGCTTACAAGTGTGAACCACTGCACATGGCCTGGTGGTGTTTTTATAATACCAAGATACTGCACTTTTTCCAAGTCTTTGAGAAAAATTAATGATCCAGAGAACACTACTGTATTTGTCATGTGTCTTCTCATACTCCATTAGGGAGAAGTCAACCCAAATTAAAACCTGACTTTCACCAGAGGACGTAGCTTCTTCTGCACATCTCTTAAATACCTTTTCCTGCCAGAAATGGAAGTTGGCAATGTGACATCCAAAAATCAAAGTTCTTTGAGTATGGTACCCTGTAGTGGCTATGTGTTTTTCACTCCCCCTCATTGTTGTCAACTAATTAGTAACTTCTCAGTCATACCGCCATTCTCTCTCCCCCACCCCTTCTCCCAGCAAGTTTATTCAAGACTATGAGACCTGGCTAGACAACGTACTTTTGCAGTTCCTGGGCCTCTGTGACTCCAGTGAACCTTTAATTCTCTCTCAACTACCCACTCCTAGAACCATATATTATCTTGTTATCTCCTGGAATTGGTCTACTTGGAATCTTTTTTTTTTTTTTTTTTTTTAATGAGATGGAGGATTCTCTCTGTTGCCCAGGCTGGAGTGCAGTGGTGTGATCATAGGTCATTGCAGCTGCAAACTCCTGGGCTCAAGTGATCTTCCACCTCAGCCTCCTGAGTAGCTGGGACTACAGGTGTGCACCACCATGCCTGGCTCCACTTGGAATCTTTACCTCAGTGTCTTTCACAACACTGATCGACTTGAAGTTTGCTATATATAACTGCCTTTTGTCACCTTCTTTCTCTATTTGAAATGCCCCTTTTTCCCTTCTTGTTAATTCCTTACTCATTCTCTAGGGCGGTGTTACTCAATTTTTTTTTTTTTTTTTTTTTAAAGACAGGGTCTTGCTCTGTCACCCAGGCTGGAGTGCAGTGGCCCCATCATGGCTCATTGCAGCCTTGACCTCCCAGGCTCAAGTAATCCTTCCACCTCAGCCTCCTGAATAGCTAATTTTTTTTATTTTTAGTAAAGATGAGGTCTCACCTAGCTAATTTTTTTATTTTTAATAAAGATGAGGTCTCACTCTGTTGCCCAGGCTTGTCTCGAACTCCTGGGTTCAAGTGATCCTCCTGCCTTGGCCTTCCATGGTGCTGGGATTACAGATGTGAGCCATTGTGCCTGGGCCAACCTTTATTTTTTAATCCCTGTCCTTTCTCAGTAAACGTTTCTTCTTTCCTCCTAACATCCCTGCTTAACAAATTGGTTTCTTTCTGTGATCTACAAAACAGTGTCCCTGACCGTTCTCGAAATTAGTTTAGGTGATCCTTCAGTGTTCCCATAATGCCCCTATTTGTGTCTTCATCATTGCACTTCTCCAGTATTTTATGGTTATGTCATGTGACTTAGTTTTCCACCAGACATTAATTTCTTTGAAGGAGGCAGATACTGGTTTTGTAATCTGTTTTCTTTCTTTTTTTTTTTTTTTTGGTTTTGAGACTGCGTCACACTGTGTCACCCAGGCTGGAGTGCAATGGCGCAATCTTGGCTCACTGCAGCCTCCGCCTCCCAGGTTCAAGAGATTCTCCTGCCTCAGCCTCCCGAGTAACTGGGATTATAGGCATGTGCCGCTACATCTGGCTAATTTTTGTATTTTTAGTAGAGAGGGGGTTTCCCCATGTTAGTCAGGCTGGTCTTGAACTCCTGACCTCAGGTGATCTGCCCACCTTGGCCTCCCAAAGTGCTGGGATTACAGACGTGAGCCACCATGCCTGGCTTGTACATCTGTTTTCCTGCCGCGTGGCTTAATGCTTACCCATGGTTGGTGAGTTTTTTTTAAATGTTAAAGAGATTGTGAGTAGACAGATGAATTCTTAGGTTGCAAGGATAAACTTACTAAAAGTATAGGAGTATATAATATGAAGACCTGACAAAATAATCCATAGCTTCCTCCAAAAATAGTATGATGGCCTGAATCTAGATAATTTAAGGCCACTTTTGGTCTGATATTCTAGGATGATGGTTTATTATGGAGTAACTTTTAAAGAGAAAGTTAAATAGTGCTTTTGAACCAGTATTTAACTTGGGATTCTTAAACACCAAGGGCTCGACAACGTAATTTAGAATCATAAACTTTTTAACTCAGCATAAGCCAAACATTTAAGCACAGAATCCCCCACTTTATTTATTTATTTCCATAGCATCTGTTAATGTAAATGTATTTTGGGAAACTGAGTTCTCATTTGAAATTCAGAGAGATTAAATCACTTGCTGAATGAATATTGGGCTGTACTGTATTAAATTACTGATATTAGACTTGTTGACTTACAAAAGGCCCTTCCATGTGGTTCAGCCTAATGTCGTATGATTGCTTACTACAAGCCTAGAGTCCTAACTTCCGGTTTAGTTCACTTTGAAGATTCAACTTGTGAGGATGTGTTTATACTATCACCATCATCAGTATCAGCTACCAATGCACATTGATTGAGTGCTTATTTTGGGTATAGCTCAGTATTGGCTCTAGAGTTTTGTTTTGTTTTGCTTTGTTTTTAAGGTATAAGATGAAATCTGCTCAAAACAAGTGACCTGCTGGGTTTACTGTAGAGACACCAAGTTTCATGAATTTCAAGTGGAGAAGGAGATTAGTCTTCCAGTGTATGTTAATAGTTAGTAGGTCTTATTAAAAAAGAAAACGGGCCCTTTGGTTGTTAATGTGTGAGAAATGTTGGTTTAAAAATTAAGTTACTGAGTGGCTTCTTGTACTAAATCAATGTTAATGAGGTTTTGCTGTGCCTGGTTTGCTTTTCCCTTTTTCTCTAACCTGTACTTTTTAAGCTCACTCCATTAGGGATTTCCTCTAATACTTTTGGTGAGTTCAACCATTAGAAACACAATAAAGTTGTATCACTATCCAACTCAGTTCTTGCCGTAGACCTTCTTTGAAATAAAATGTCTGAAGCTGTTCTGAAAAAATTTTAGTGACTGACTTCATGTATTACATTGAGATGTATTTTCTCATTACTGTTATTTTCTTATGGCTCTTTGAATACTTGATAAATGATATGATTTTAAAATGTGTTTGATATATTTATAGGATGGAAGATGCTAATTCTGAAAAGAGTATAAATGAAGAAAATGGAGAAGTATCAGAAGACCAGTCTCAAAATAAGCACAGTCGTCACAAAAAAAAGAAGCATAAACACAGAAGTAAACATAAGAAACATAAACATTCCTCAGAAGAAGACAAGGATAAAAAACATAAACATAAGCATAAACATAAGAAACACAAAAGAAAAGAGATTATTGATGCTTCTGATAAAGAGGGTATGTCTCCAGCAAAAAGAACTAAACTTGATGATTTAGCTTTGCTAGAAGACTTGGAAAAACAGAGAGCCTTGATTAAGGCCGAACTTGATAATGAGTTAATGGAAGGAAAGGTCCAGTCTGGTATGGGGCTCATTTTGCAAGGTTATGAGTCTGGCTCTGAAGAAGAGGGGGAAATTCATGAAAAGGCAAGAAATGGAAATAGGTCTAGTACTAGATCTTCAAGTACAAAGGGGAAACTTGAACTTGTGGACAATAAAATTACTACAAAGAAACGAAGTAAAAGCAGATCCAAAGAACGGACTAGACATAGGTCTGATAAAAAGAAAAGTAAGGGGGGTATTGAAATCGTTAAAGAGAAAACAACTAGGAGCAAGTCAAAGGAGAGGAAAAAATCTAAAAGCCCATCCAAAAGAAGTAAGTCTCAAGATCAAGCAAGGAAATCAAAATCCCCTACCCTTAGAAGGCGATCTCAAGAGAAAATTGGTAAGGCCAGATCTCCTACTGATGATAAGGTTAAAATTGAAGATAAAAGTAAATCAAAAGATAGGAAAAAATCCCCAATTATAAATGAAAGTAGAAGTCGCGATCGAGGTAAAAAATCCAGATCCCCAGTTGATTTAAGAGGTAAATCCAAAGACAGAAGGTCACGGTCCAAAGAGAGAAAATCAAAACGGTCTGAAACTGATAAAGAAAAGAAGCCAATTAAATCTCCCTCTAAAGATGCTTCATCTGGGAAAGAAAATAGGTCACCCAGCAGAAGACCTGGTCGTAGTCCTAAAAGAAGAAGTTTGTCTCCAAAACCACGTGATAAATCAAGAAGAAGCAGGTCTCCACTTTTGAATGATAGAAGATCTAAGCAGAGCAAATCCCCCTCGCGGACACTGTCTCCTGGGAGAAGAGCCAAGAGCCGATCCTTAGAAAGAAAACGACGAGAACCAGAGAGGAGACGACTTTCTTCTCCAAGGTAACTTGTGTACAAAATGTTAAAGCTTTTTACCAGTGCATGAGATTTTAAACGGAAAACTAGAACTTGTGGACCATTAAAAATGAAGTAGTAAGTAAAAATAAAAATAAATGAAGTAGTAATGAGTTTCATAATTTTAAGTAACCCAATCCATTAACCATGTTAATATTTGCACTTTTTTCGATGAGTATTTTAAGTATAGGTGTTTAACAAATACTGAGCTTGATGATAGAATTGGGTTTTTTCACATTCTTGATTTAATACCTAGTTTGCTAAGGCACTCCTTTCAATCCATGTAATTTGGCTGATAAATCTTCATTGGGGGCGTTTAGAGAGAGGATTATTACTTCATGAACAGTGTAGGCTGAAACTCTTAACTTTGAAAAGGGGGAAAGGTAATCAGTTTAACAATTGTGTTCTGTTCATTCTCTTGTATTTGCATGAGTTTTAAATTTTAACAGTATAAATAGAAACCAATACCAATATTTTTTGGTCCCCAAAGTATAATTAAAATGGAAAATTTTGTATTAATACATATAATCTCATTGTTGAAAAGTAGTATCTCTTAAGCTTAAGAAGAATAGTATATGAAATTATTTTGTACTATTTGAATAATATATTGTCTTAGTTCTTATAAATCCTCATGTGATTATCTTAACTCATGAGGTGAAGGGGCTCTCATACCTAATTTATAAATGAAATAGAATCAGAGAATGTATATAATTTACGTAGGATCATAGAACGGAAGTATTTGCGGGGAGGAGTGTTTATACCACTTAAACTACTTTAGAAACAGATTTCTTAATGTCTTTTTTGTATTTAGTATTTAAGTATTATGAAATTGCCAGCTAGGTTTTGCTTATTAAAAGAGTATTGGCTTATACTATATAAGGATGTTATTAATTCCTAGCCGTTTACTGTGTTCATAATAATATTTTCTGTGAATGGGTATAAATATAAACTCACCCTGAAAGTGAAGTCATCATATTTTCAGAGAAATTTCAAATTTTATTTCCAAGTGCTGTGTCTTAAGAGCGTCTTGATTCTTTACTTCTGAGTGGCACTGTAATGAAATAGCCCCTTTTTCCTTTGGCTTCCTGGATTGAGGCAGTGATTAGTTTTACTGATTCTGTTATCTCAAGTGCTTCTTAATTATCTTGGTGGTCTTTCAGTTTGCTTTGTTTGAAGAGCAAATTCTGAGGAGTTTATTAAGGACTAGAGCTGAGTATTTGAAACAAAAATATTTTTTTAAATTACAGAAGTGATGCATACTTACTTATTAAAGAGAAATCCAAATAAGCCTGTAAATTGTCTCCCTTTTCATTTCTCCACTACCACTCCTTAGAAATTTACTTTATCTTAGGTCTTTCCTTGTACAGACAATAACATGAATATAAGGGAATTTTTTTTTTTAACAAAACTGGAGTCATATTATTCATATTCACATGTGGCTTGCTTTTTTCAGGAAACATTTCTGCGACAAAACATATAGATTGTTTTTCATTCTGCCTGACAGCAACTGGTATTTCAGTGTAGATGTATTATAGTATCATTCTCCTATTGAAACTGATGAAAAATTTAGGTTGGTTCCAGTTTTTCACTATTATATGCGAAGATGTGCCTTGGTTATATGTGAGGTTTCTTTATAGAATAGACTCATAGAAGTGGACTTGCAAAGTCTCAGAGTATGTACATTTACATTGTAGAAAGTTATTGCTAAATTTCCATCCAGGAAAGTTAGGTCAATTTCTACTTCTACTTCTATGACTATGTGAACTGCCCCTTTTCCTGAAACTGTATTAGGAAAGTTTAGGAAAACCTTTATTACCAGGATACCATATAGTATTTTGTCACTCTTAAAAACAGAACAAAAAACCCAAAAATTGTTTTAATCGAAATTTCTTAGGTGACTAGTGAGGGTGAACATTTTTATTTTCTTTATTTTTATTTATTTATTTTATTTTATTTTATTTTTTGAGATGGGGTCTTGCTCTGTTGCCAGGCTGGAGTGCAGTGGCGTGGTCTCGGCTCACTGCAACCTCTGCCTCCTGGGTTCAAGCGATTCTCCTGCCTCAGCCTCCCAAGTAGCTGGGATTACAGACACGCACCACCATGCCCAGCTAATTTTTGTATTTTTAGTAGAGACAGGGTTTCACCATGTTGGCCAGGCTGGTCTTGAACTTCTGACCTCGTGATCCGCCCACCTCGGCCTCCCAAAGTGTTGGGATTACAGGCCTGAGCCACTGTTTATTTTCATTGCATTTTAGCAGACAACACTCTGTTCTTTTTATACTAGTTTACTTTATCCCATCCATTTATATATACATATATATACACATATATGTGTGTTGTTTTTGTTTTGTTTTGTTTTGTTTTTTTGAGATGGAGTCTCGCTCTGTCGCCCAGGCTGGAGTGCAGTGGTGTGATCTTGGCTCACTGCAACCTCTGCCTCCTGGGTTCAAGCAATTCTCCTGCCTCAGCTTCCCCGAGTAGCTGGGACTACAGGTGTGCGCCACCACGCCCGGCTAATTTTTTTTTTTTTTTTTTTTTTTTTTTTTTTTTGATATTTTTAGCAGAGATGAGGTTTCCCCACGTTGGCCAGGCTGGTCTCGAACTCTTGACCTCAGGTTATCTGCCTGCCTTGGCCTCCCAAAGTGTTGGGATTACAGGCGTGAGCCACCGCACCCAGCCCATTTATATTTTTTAACTGGTCTTTTGAGGCTGTGCGTGTATGTGAGCAGATTAAATAAAAGAGTTTCCTCAGATGGCCCTATCAAGAAGTAAGCACTACCAAGAAGTAAGCACTACAGATCTGAATCAAAGTCTACCTTGCTCATTTTGGCTGGATCAGAGAAGGATTCTTGGGTTCTGTATACCGTGCTGAAACATGCAAGGCAGGTTGTGTTTTTAGGTTTTTATTAAATGAGGAAGGCAAGTTGCAGTGGCTCACGCCTGTGTTCCAGCACTTTGGGGAGGCTGAGACGGGTGGATCACCTGAGGTCAGGAGTTCGAGACTAGCTTGACCGACATGGAGAAATCCTGTCTCTACTAAAAATATAAAATTAGCTGGACGTGGTTGCTCATGCCTGTAATCCCAGCTACTCAAGGCTGAGGCGGGAGAATCTCTTGAAGCCGGGAGACAGAGGTTGCAGTGAGCCGAGGTCACACCATTGCACTACAGCCTGTGCAACAAGAGCAAAACTCCATCTCAAAAAATAATAATAATAATAAATGAGGAAAATACTGTAATATTATTTGATTATGGAGACAAACCTATTTACAATCTGACTGTTCAGATTGAATAGTTGTGACCAAACCTGGAATAACATTAAGAAATGTTCAAAACCTGTTTTAAAAAATTAAGCTGTAGAAAGGCCTGTTGTAATACAAATATCACATTAAACAAGAGTAAAACTCACTGAAAGGTACTTGTGTGATAAGTGTTGAAAAGTTGGGTTTTTGTGGGGTTTTTCTGGGGAGACTGGAGGCAGGGTCACACTCTGTCACCCAGGCTGGAGTGCAGTGGCATGATCTCTGCTCACTGCAACCTCTGCCTCCCAGGCTTACACAATCCTCCCACTTGAGCCTCCCTATTAGTTGGGACTATAGGCACATGCCACCACACTTGGCTAATTTTGATATTTTTTGTAGAGATAGGGTTTCGCCATGTTACCCAGGCTGGTCTCAAACTCATGAGCTTAAGTGATCCATCTGCCTCAGCTTCCCACAGTGCTGGGATTACAAGTGTGAGCCACCACACCTAGCTATTGTTTTTGTTTTTTTGAGACAAGTTCTCACTCTGTCACTTGGGCTGCAGTGGCACAAACACAGCCACTGCAGCCTCAACCTCATGGGCTCAGGCGGTCCTCCCTCAGCCTCTGAAAGTGCTGGGATTGCAAGTGTAAACCATTGTGCCTGGCCTATTATACTTGACATTAAAAAGAAGATTTTTGCCCGGGCATGGTGGGTCACACCTGTAACCTCAGCACTTTTGGAGGCCAAGGGAGAACCACTTGAGGCCAGGAGTTCGAGACCAGCCTGGGCAACATAGTGAGACCCCCATCACTACAAAACAAAATATTAGTCAGGTGTGGTGGCATGCCCTTATGGTTCCAGCTGCTCAGGGGGGCTGAAGTGGAAGGATTGCCTCAGCCTGGGAGGTCAAGGCTGCAGTGACCCGTGTTTGCGCCACTGCACTCCAGCCTGGGTGACAGAGTTAGACCCTGTCTCAAAAAAAAAAAAAAAAAAAAAAGATCCTTAATTGGAGAAATGTCAGGATGTAGAAAGAAAAAGTCGTCAATGAAAATGGAATATTTGAGTAAATGGAGTATTATACTCACTTGGGGAGGTTTTATTTGAGTTGGTTTATTTGAAATTAGAATCAGTGACTTTACCGGTATGAATAACCTTTAGTAATTTTTCAAACTGTGGGACCAGAGGAAATAAGACCTTTCATTGTTTGCCTGCAATAACACCAAAATATCACTGTAGTCACCTGAGTAAGTTTTGTTACAAAACACATTAATCAAAGTTCACTTTCTTTAGGCTAATGTGCCTTTTCTTACAGATGTTCTTTGCATATAGAAAAAAATCATTTACTTTGATTTATATTTCTTTTAACTTGCATTTGATCCCCTTAAGAACACGACCTCGAGATGATATCCTCAGTAGACGTGAAAGATCAAAAGATGCCAGCCCCATCAATAGATGGTCTCCAACCCGAAGAAGAAGTAGATCTCCCATTAGAAGGAGGTCTCGTTCCCCACTCAGACGTAGCAGGTCTCCAAGAAGAAGAAGCAGATCTCCTCGGAGAAGGTAAAGACATTTCATCCTTGTGATTCATTAAACTCTGAATGTTTTTGAACCACCAGTGAGCTCACTTGGTAGGTTTTCTTTTAGACCAGTTTTCTCTGAAAAATCGTAGTTGTGTTCCCATAGTTTCCTTTTACCAGCAATCTCTACACATGGGTTTTCTTTTATATCGTTTCCTTTGAATTTTAAACAAATCATTGCTCATTTAGGATGCAATAAAATTAGTCTTTTAAAAATAGGACTTTTTTCTCTCTTTTATCAATCAATACTAAATGAGCCAGACTTAGGGATTTTTTTTTTTTTTTAACCAGCAAGGTAGATCATGTAGTAGTAAATATATAGCCCAGTTTCTTACATTTTATATTAATTTTGCATATTGATAGTTACTGTAGACTTAGGCAAAGGCCTATTTAATTTGCCATAGAAACCATTTTATCTGAAGCATATGTAGTCAGTAATAGGTTAAAAAGGTGGTTTATAAAGCAGGGAATCATTTTTTAAAATTCATACATACATGAAATATTTTAATATAAAACATAAATGGGTATTTGTTTGCCAATCTTTTAACATTTTTAATTGAAGTAATAAATGAATATAATTTTTAAGAAACAAAGGCTTATATTATAGCCATCTTTACATATCTCTCAGAATTTTTGTATGCTGTATTCCTAGAAATGGAAATGCATGGTCTGAGTGCACTCTGGTCAATGAGGGGTTTTATTTTATTTTATTTTATTTTATTTTTTGACAGTCTCACTCTGTTGCCCACGCTGGAGTGCAATGGCGCGATCTCACTGCAACCTCCACCTCCTGAGTTCAAGCAATTCTGCCTCAGCCTCTCAAGTAGCTGGGACTAGAGGTGCCCATGCCACCATGCCCAGCTTTTTTTTTTTTGTATTTTTCTAAATAGAGATGGAGTTTCACTATGTTGGTCAGGCTGGTCTCGAACTCCTGACCCCAAATGATCCGCTCGTCTTGGCCCACTGCACCCAGCCACAATGAGGGTTTTTAATACTACCGCTTACTCATGTTTCGCTTTTGCCTAATTTCATCACACTTTTTTGTTCTTCTAGAGTCAGTATAATCATTGTGATCCTGTATGTATTCATTGCTGAGCAAATAGTTGGGAGAGGAGGGAAGAGAGGACCTCCCTTCTGACACTGCTAGTCTTCTTGCTCCAAGCTGATCTCAAGACTTGCTTTTTTCTCTCTTCCCTTTTTATAAAAAATGTCTTGTGTTCTGAAATTTATTATGTGCCTCGGTATGTAGATCTTTATCCCCATTTATTTTGCTAATTACTAGATAGGCCCTTTAAAGCAGGGAGTTTATGGCCTTCTGGGAAATTTTTGTGCTTTTTTTTTTCTTTCTTTCTTTCTTTCTGTTTTTTCCAATTGGACCTTCTATATTGTTCCACGTATTAACATTTTATTCATGTTTTCTGGAAATAGTATTTTCTGTCTCTCAGACAATAGCGAGGTTATTGTGTGAGATTTTTGTTCTTTATAGTTTTCTTTGCTATATTGTGTTTCTTCCCAGATTCCTTTTGCTGCATGTTTACTTTTCATTTGAAGACTTTTCTCACACAGCTGGATCCTTCATTGCTGCCTATTCTGAGTTAATATTTAGGTACTGAGAAAGCTGAATGGGATTTTTCTTCTATTGTGACAGTGTAGGACTTGTCAGCTAGTGGTTATCACTTCAGAGTAATTAGATATTTTTGGATATTAGTGACTGTAGATGTATTTTCTTGGGCTATGAGTTTTCCGGAATCCTTTCATTTCCTCCTGGGAAATAGACCTGGCTACCAGTAGAGTTCTCTTCCTTCATAATGTAAACTTCCTTATAATCTGTCTATCTTTGGTATGTGCCTCTCAGCATCTGGAGTGACCAACCCTTCTCTAGAAAGCAAATCTTAAGTGTTCTGCTAGAATGTGAAGGGAGTGGTTGACATTTTCCACTGAGTTGGGGAGGGGACTGTACCGAGTCTGGCTGTTTATAAAGGCTTTCAACCAATTCTGTCCTCAGCTCTTACCTCACACCATCTTGCAGAGGATAGGGAGTCTCCAATTCCTGAGGCTTTCTGGGGGTGTTGTGACATGTTCTGACTGTTTCTGATTTACCTTGTGTGTTCATGTTGGACCAATATTCAGCTCAATTTGATCTGTTACTATTCTTTACTCCAATTTGCACATTCTAAGATTTTATTCTCATCTCTGCTATCATCTCTCTTGACATTCTCCTTGCCTGAGGGTTTTCCTCCCCTCCCCACCCCACCCCTCCCTTCCCCTCCGATCTTTCTCTTTTCTCTCTCTCCTCTCCCCTCTCCCTTCTCCTCTTTTCTTTTCTTTCTTGAGGTAGGATCTTGCTCTGTTACCCAGGCTGGAGTGCAGTGTGATCACGACTCACTGCAGCCTCAACCTCCTGGGCTCAAGGAATCCTCCCGGTAGCTGGGACTATAGGCACGCACCACCACACCCAGCTAATTTTTTTGTATGTTTTGTGGAGACAGGGTTTTGCCATGTTGCCCAGGCTGGTCTCAAACTCCCGAGCTCCCTGCCTGCCTTGGCCTCCCAAAGTGCTGAGATTATATGTGTGTACCACTGCACCCAGCCCCCAGTTTTTTTTTTTTTAAGTACTCATTTACTGTCATGTTAGTGAGGTTTCTTTAAGTTGAGCTCATTGAAACATGCATATAACTTACATAAAGTAAAATGCTTTTTGTTGTAAAGTTGTGTGAATTTTGACAGACACATAAGTCACACTCAAGTTAGAGAACGTTTTCATCACTCCAAGTTCCCTTTTGCCCCTTTTCGGTCTCTCCCTTCACTCCAGTGCCTGTGTATACAACCGTGGTGCTGTACGAATACAAAGAAACAGTAGGTATTTATCCCCATAGAGCTTATATTCAAGTTCAAGTTCATATCCATGGGAAGAATTTCTTAGTTCAGAGTTTGATAAGGAGTAGGTATGTTTTAGTTATCTTCAGCTAAGCTGGTTATCTCAGTCTTTCTGATGTTCTGTTCTTTTACTTAAAATTTTCAAACGACCTTTTTAAAAAATAGACTATATTTTAGAAGAGTTTTAGGTTTACAGCAAAATTGAGTAGAAAGTAGAATTTCTATATATCCCCTGTGCCCACACATGCATGCCTTTCCCACTTTGACATTTAAAAAAATGTATACCTGTCTTTTCTTCTTTAAATAGGGACAGAGGTCGGAGGAGCAGATCACGCTTGCGAAGGCGGTCTCGATCACGCGGTGGTCGTAGACGAAGGAGCAGAAGCAAAGTAAAGGAAGATAAATTTAAAGGAAGTCTTTCTGAAGGAATGAAAGTTGAGCAGGAATCTTCGTCTGATGATAAGTAAGAATAGAACTTACCCATAACTTTGTTTTTCCAGTTTAGAGAAGTCTTATTTGACTTGGAAATTGTTAAATAATATCCACCTAAATATTATAAGTGGCTCCATTAATTTGGCTCTGAATTTAAAAGTTAGTCTTTTGTGAATATTGTGTAGGTTGTATCACAGAGTTAGTAAGCGGTTTTCTGAATGTAGGTGTTTCAGCTTTGGCTGGAGTGAACATTGGGCCTTCATTTTATTGTGAGCCTACCCTTTGTTTTTATTATGAACAATACATACATTAGTCCTGCCGGCCAGAGTTACTAGATTTTGGGAGGAATTTTCTATAAAAGTTTAGAACTTTGAGTTTGTGTTAGATGATACATACTTTGCAATTGAGGCTATTTTGTGATGAGTGTCCTTTTTACAACATGAAAATGTAGAAACATTTCAAGTGTCTAATACAATTGTGGGGACATTTTTCCCTGTCTCTACAAAAAATACAAAAATTAGCCAGGCCTGGTGGCACACGCCTGTAGTCAGGAGGCTGAGGTGGGAGGATCACTTGACCCTGGGGGGAGAAGGTTGAAGTGAGCTTGATCACACCACTGCACTCCAGCCTGAGCAAAAAGAGTGAGACCCTGTCTCAAAAAACAAAAATAAATAAAATGCAGACTTGATTGTCTAAGTGGAATATCTCAAAAATAAATGGGACAAATCTAGAGCCATTCTCAACAGGAGGTTATTAGCCTCCCTGGGGACATGTCTGAGGACATTTCTTGTGATTGTTGGCTAGAGGCCAGGGATACTGCATTCTACAATGCACAGGATAACCCCCCACACACACACACAAAAAGAACTATCCATATCAAAAAACAAATCATGCTAAGGATGAAAAACCCTGATTAAAACCAGGTGATTAAAGTTGGATGGGAGAAGGGCATTCTACATAGATTCTGATAGAATCAGAGTATAGTTTGCCTATTCTTCTGCAGCGAACATTCAGCAGGTAAGATCATTGAAAAAGTTGCACTGGGAAGGATCATAAAGATTGTGGAGGTGGTATTTGAGGGTTAGTGCGGAGGGTTGGGGGCAGTGTTGCGGAGTAGAGCCACATTCCCCTTCAGATTATATGCAAATATTTGCATGTGCATTTTTGATAGGGAAGTACGGGTATAGCTTTCTTGAGCTTTCAGGCGGTTCTGACATCCAGAAAAGGTAGCAATTTACTTATCTTACCCTTGCCATCATTTTATAGGTGAGAAAACTAAGGCTAGATAGGTAAAGTGACTTTACTAAGGTCATGGAAAAACTAGTGGCAACTTTTGTAAACCTGGAGTTATTTCTTTTATTCCCAATTTTGGTGCCATGAAATAGATGAGAAGAAAACTGAGACAAAGGTTAGGTTACTTCCCCACATTCCAAACCAGGCAGTTAACTGAGATGGTTTGGAAACAAAAGTAATAGGACTTAAGACTTTTGCTCTAACTTACTGATACCTACATTTTCCTGCCTTTAACTTTAAAATGTATAAGGGGTATGGTTTTAGAATCTCTTAAGGGTGTTTGAATTTTTCTTTAAGCCTTGAAGACTTTGATGTAGAGGAAGAAGATGAAGAAGCCCTAATAGAACAGAGAAGAATCCAAAGGCAGGCAATTGTTCAGGTATGTGATTTTAATGAAAAATAACCATTATTGTAGTAAAAGATTTTTTTGCTTTAACAAAAATGTAGCATTAATAACAGTTGAACAGGTCCTTAGAAAAGGATAGTATATATAAAATTATCTTTGTGAAGTTTGAAAAAATGATCTTTTTTTAGTTACTAAAACTGAGATGGTTGCTCTTTGTTGGTTATACATAGAATTCTGGTTGTTTATACATAGAATTCTGATGTAAACCTCTTCTGTAAAACATGAGAATCTGAAGTTTGCTTTCTTTTTAAGTTAATGAACACGTATGAGTATAGAATAAACTGGAGGAATTTTATTTAGCAAAAAATTATGCATGTTACTGTGTGAATAAAGTAAATATTTTAATATTTAGTAATGGCAAGTTTTGTAATGTGAATATGGTGGTTTAAATGAAACATTTGAAAAATAATTTTAAGACTAGAGCCAGATGATGAAGAAGATTGGGTGGGGAAAGAATGTTATACAAAGATCTTGATACAGCCATTTAATTATAAGGTTTGGTGACTTGGAAGGTTGTCAGCTCTTCCTTCGAAGACAAAAGGAGAAAACAGCTGTGGCAGCTTACCTAAACACACATAGCAAACCATAAATCAGGTAATAGTGTGCCACGTTGGAGTGAAGGACAGAACTTGCATCACCAGAAAGGAAGTAGGGCAAAACTAATTCCGGAGGAAGCTTACTTTTCTGGGACACTGGTAAAATTGTAGTTAATAAACTGATATCCCTGAAGATGTGGATGAATCTTTTTTTATTCTTGCTCAGGTCCACAACCCCTTACCTCCAACCCTTGGGGCCATATGTGCTTTGGAACTCAGAAATTTTTGAGTTTTAGAAAGGTGATATGGTGCATCTATTATGTGCCATCAGTGGGGTCTGCAGCAGACCCCATAATCAAACACGTTAATATTTCTACAGTGAGGCATACTGTAGTAGTCACACTGGGGAGAAAATAAGACAATAAATGGTGCCTCATCTGATCAGGTCCAGTGCTGCCACCTGATGAATGTGCACTGAAGAAAGAAAAACTTTTTCAGATTTTTGTGAATTTAGAAATTACATAAGGGATTGCAGATTTGATTGAACCAATAAATACCATTTGGTTTGTTACATTATTTGATACGTTCTCTTAACTTTTCACTGCAGCAACTCTTAGCCATGAATGTATTTGGATAGCATCCAATTTTATGAAAGTATTATCTTCTGTATTGTTATTACAGAAATATAAATACCTTGCTGAAGATAGCAACATGTCTGTGCCATCTGAACCAAGCAGCCCCCAGAGCAGTACGAGAACACGATCACCATCTCCAGATGACATTCTGGAGCGAGTAGCTGCTGATGTTAAAGAGTATGAACGGGAAAATGTTGATACATTTGAGGCCTCAGTGAAAGCCAAGCATAATCTAATGACAGTTGAACAGAATAATGGTGAGAGAGTTTTGTCCTGGCGACGCTTTTCTCTGAATTGTTAGCTCTGTAACTTTATAATAAGAGACGTTATTTGGGGTGGGATTAGGAAAAGTAAAAGATTAGACATGTTGCTTCTGCTGAATATTGCAGTAATATAATATTAAATATGTCCTTAGAAATGTTCTCTATAAATGTGTTTTTATTAGTTCACATATCCTGAATAGTATACTGAACTCTCACATATTCGTTACCTTTTGTTTTGCTTGCTATTTTAAAGCAAATCCAATTATGATTTTATTCCCCTTCTGGGTACTTGTTTGTGTCTCTGTCAGTTAAGAACATTAATGTTTTAAAACATTAAATAAGAGGTTTCCACTTTTTGGTTACCCCAAAAGATAGTTTGTATAGGAAAGGCAGGGTAAATACATGTTTATTATTTTCTTTATTTACCAATTTTTAGAATACAGTTGGTGTCCTAACAACCTCCAGAGATGTCTAATGAGATTTTGACTGTTTTGTTAGGTGTTCATCATTTGGTGTCATTATGTGCTTGATGTGTTTCGATCTGGTGCTGTTATTTTTCTTTCTGAAGCTAGATTGGTCTCTCTAACTGGGTTGGGGAAAGGAGCCCTTTTTCAGTTGATTTCTCTTGTCCTTTTGCCCCAGCCCTTTAGTATTCAATATAGCTTTCTTACTTTCTAGAACAGGAACCAGCAAACTTTTTGTCTAAGAGGTTAGATAGTAAATGGTTGAGCCTTTAGTAATTATATTGGCCTTTTCCTTTACAGTTCCATATAGTGAACTTGTTGGAGGGCAGAACCTGCCACAGACAATATATGGTTATTATTATTATTATTATTTTTTTTTTTTTTTAAGAGACAGAGTCTTGCTCTGTCACCGAGGCTGGAGTGCAGTGGCGCGATCTCAGCTCACTGCAAGCTCCGCGTCCCAGGTCCACACCATTCTCCTGCCTCAGCCTCCCAAGTAGCTGGGACTACAGGCGCCTGCCACCACGCCTGGCTAATTTTTGTATTTTTAGTAGAGATGGGGTTTCACCGTGTTAGCCAGGATGGTCTCGATCTCCTGACCTCGTGATCTGCCTGTCGGCCTCCCAAAGTGCTGGGATTACAGGCGTGAGCCACCACGCCCAGCTGACAGTACACTGTTGAACGGACATGGCTGTGTTCCAGAAAAAACTTTGGCACTGAAATTTGAATTTCATCTAATTTTCACTTGCCACAAAGTATTCTGTTCCCCCACCCCCGAACACTTACAAATGTAAAAGTAGGCCATACAGAAAGAAGCAGCCAGCTAGATTTGGCTCACAGTCTGTATATAGTTTACCGACTCCTGCTCTAGCAAGATGCACAGGTTTATCTTGTGCATGTCCTGCCCAGAGCAGAATCAGCTATTTCTCCAAGGATCCCTGGTTCCATTTAATAGGAAATGCCATTTAGACATCACAGCACACTTACTAGTGTCTGTAATTTCTGGGCCTTTGCACTGGACAAAGTTAGGAAGTAGATACTCTTTTGGAAAGGAGGAGTTTACACAGATATTGCCAATTTAAAATTGAGATTATTGGGGTTTATTAACTTATGATTTTATATTTCTATCTCTTATTACAGTGAAAAATTTAGTTCTTAACATGATTACAGATAGGTTATCTTGAAACTTATACACATTAGATATCAGTATGATTATCATTACTACATATACTAACTGTGGCTTAAAATTTCAGTGGTTGTTTTTAGGATACATTCTAAGTTGTATAGGCACAATTCTCTGTCTTTTAAAATCATTTGAAATCTCTGTATGGTATGCCACAAATTTGATAGGCTTAGGTTTATTTTCATTTGCTTTTGTTTTTTAGGAATCATCTTTTTTTCTTAATAATACATTCTTTCATGTATGCATGTATGTGTGTATATGTTGTATCCTACCTACACACACAAAACCAAACTATACATACTTAGATCGATATACTTTTCCTCACTCCTTTTTATAGGCTCCGCCATAGTTTATTCAGTCAGACTTTGATATTTGAATTGTGTCCAGTTTCTGTCTATTCATTGGGTACTGATTATAATGGTGTTGTGCATTAAGTCATTCTTTAATTCTTGGCCACTGTGTTTTACGATAGTTCCCTAGAAGTGGGATTGCTGGGTCAGAAGAGGGAGTGAATATATAATTTTGCTATGTATTACCAAATTCCACTCTTTTATAAGGGTTGTACCATTTTGCCGTCTTTCTGAGTGCTTGTATATCCAGAGCCTTGTTAACAGAATGTTGTTGTACTTTTGGATGTTTAGCTAGTATCAGAGGTCAGAAATTGATACCTCATTGTAGTTTTAATTTGCATTTCCCTTAATGTAAGTGATAATGAGCATGCATTCATATGGTTAAAGCGACTGGATTTTTTTTTCTAGAAAATCCTTTTATTTTTTAGCCAGGTTTTCTGTGGGATTATTGGACTTTTAAAGGGAGAGATACATAGAGATTTAGATCTATAGTTGAAATATTAACCTTTTGGGATTTAAGGTGCAAATAACATGTTTTAAAGATGAGCTTTTATTTTAATGTGAAGTCATTGCTTAGCTATTAGCTTATTCATGTAAACTAAGAATAGTAAAAGTTAACATTGGGTCTTTCAACTTTTTTTTTTTTTTTTGAGCCAGAGTCCAATTCTGTCGCCCAGGTGGAGTGCAGTGGCGTGATCTCAGCTCACTGCTACCTCCCTCTCCCAGGTTCAAGCAATTCTCCTTTCTCAGCCTCCCAAGTAGCTTGGATTACAGGCACCTGCCACCATGCCCGACTAATTTTTGTATTTTTAGTAGAGATGGGGTTTCGCCTTGTTGGCCAGGCTGGTGTCAAACTCCTGACCTCAGGTGTTCCACCCACCTCAGCCTCCCAAAGTGCTGGGATTACAGGCGTAAGCCACCATGCCCGGCCGGTCTTTCAGCTTTCTGAAATGCACTCTGTTACTAAAAAGTGAATACCTTTATGTATCATAAATGTTAATAAAGTGATTCTAAATTGAATACTGTTGGGAAACTGATGTGCAAGAGGGCAAAAAAGTTTGAATTACTATTAATGACTTCCCATTCACTTATTTTGTGTTTTAAATCATCTCTTCACTTTTCAAACATTAATGCTAATTTCCTTTAAGGTTCATCTCAGAAGAAGTTGTTGGCACCTGATATGTTTACAGAATCTGATGATATGTTTGCTGCGTATTTTGATGTAAGTTATTTTAAATCAAGTGTTAAAACAAAAAAAAATAACAAATATATTGGTGCGTATATACATATAGAGAAAGAAGAATAAAGCAAATGTAATAAATATTTTGAACAGTGTGGGTGAAAGGAATCTGAAAACTCTACTAGTTTTGCATCTTATAAGTCTAAAATTAATGTCAAAAATTTTAAGACAGGTATGGCAGAACAATTTGAGAGCTTTATAAAAGTCAAACACCAAATGATAAACATGTCATTTGTACAGTATTGTGTATTTAAATACATACACATACATGTGGTAGTTAGGTGCCATAAGGAGATAACAGTATTTTCTAGGTCTTTATTAGAATAGACTCCACTTTGGGGCCTCTATATTATATTAGTAGGTGATTGAGAACTTATTAATAGAATATTGAAGAATTGGAAATGTTATAAGGAGTAGATTAAGAAATTTTGGTGATTTCACCACTTTTTTCTTAAATTTTTATTGATGCCTTATGTTGGAAAAGTCTTAAACTATGAACGTGGTCAAACTTGGGGACATTTTCAATATAAATTTCAAAGGACATGAGAAATAAGAGGCCTTCATAAGAGGAGGTAGAGAAGATAAATGTAACAGGGAAAATAAAAATGTGGTAAGATAAATAGTCATGTATATGTACACACACACACACACACACACACACACACACACACACACACACAGAGCAATAGGAACACCAACCTATAAATGAATTAGGAGAGGATGAAATGAGTATTGACCCAGTTTTGGTGTCAGTACTCATTTGCTTGGTTGATATTGAAGAGTCTTCTGGGTATCTTGGAGAGTAAGGTGCAATAAAGAATCATCAGAAGGGCCTGGCACGGTGGCTCACGCCTGTAATCCCAGCACTTTGGGAGGCCGAGACGGGTGGATCACGAGGTCAGGAGATCGAGACCATCCTGGCTAATACGGTGAAACCCCATCTCTACTAAAAATACAAAAAAATAAGCCGGACGTGGTGGCGGGCGCCTGTAGTCCCAGCTACTCGGGAGGCTGAGGCAGGAGAATGGCATGAACCCGAGAGGCGGAGCTTGCAGTGAGCGGAGATCGCGCCACTGCACTCCAGCCTGGGCGACAAAGCAAGACTCCGTCTCAAAAAAAAAAAAAAAAAAAGAATAATCAGGAGTACCATATATTCTTATTTTTCAATTTTCCACGTAGTGTCAACTAGTGCAGCCAGTGACTTACTACATTTCATGCATGTATGGGAAGAATGGTATAACAAATGGTATAACAGCTATAGAAATTTGTATCTGGTTTTGAGTTATTTTCTTTTTTTTCTCTTTTGTTTTGAGATAGGGTCTCCCTCTGTCCTAGACTAAAGTGCAGAGTGCAGTAATTAGTGACATCATGGCTCACCGCAGCCTTGAATTCCTGAGCTCAAGCGATCTTCCTGCCTCAGCCTACCAAGGAGCTGGGGCTACAAACACATGCCACTACACCTGGCGCTTTTTTTTTGTTTTTTAATTTTTAGTAGAGAAGGGGTGTCACTGTGTTGCCCAGGCTGGGAGGGGTTTTTGTTTTTTTTTTTTAGTGTTATTTTGAATCAAGATACTTTGGTCTCATGTTTCAGCTATGTTGGATTTACATAAGTGATAGTAAGAATTTATTTAATTTGGAATAAAATGCTTTTATTAAATTATATCTGGTGTTACCCTTTTGTGTTTTAAAGGAAGTGCGTTAAATGTCTGACAAGTGGGTAAACTGTTCATGTTGCCTCTTTAATTTCAGAGTGCTCGTCTTCGGGCCGCTGGCATTGGAAAAGATTTCAAAGAGAATCCCAACCTCAGAGATAACTGGACCGATGCAGAAGGCTATTATCGTAAGTTCACATTTTATATTAACTTTAGAGTTCATTGTAACACCATGCAAAAGCATGCTGCTTGATGCAATCACAGATTATTGGAGAACTCTGAAAAATCACATCACAGTGCCATCTTTAAAAATTGTGGCACATCCAACAGCTGCATGAACTCGTGTGTATTCTAAAAGCAGCCCAGAAACATCACAAATGGAGTGAGGTAAAGTCTTGATGTACAACCTAAATATATTCAAAATTATTTTCAGCCATGAGATAGTCTTCCAGAAGGAAGGGGTACGTCACTTACTCGTCTTGATCTGAAACCAAGAAAAACGACAAACAGGAAACTTTGGATGCCAGTCATGCGGTATTTGTCATGCGGGACTACAATTGGAAAAACTTAATGTTAAAATCATCAGCAGTTGATAGGACAACAGGAACTCTTGTAGTGATCTGAAGTAGGCATGCAGCTTCTAACCACACTCTGATAGAGTGATCAGTGGAGGCATGGCTTTGATTCTTCATTGTGTCTAGGAAACCAAATAGTAGAGATTTAACACAATTTTTAAATGACTGCACTGTGTTTCCTACTTTCTGATTCTATTTATTATAGTCAGAATTCTAATTTTTCAATTTGCCTTTTTAGGTGTGAACATAGGTGAAGTCCTAGATAAACGTTACAATGTGTATGGCTACACTGGGCAAGGTGTATTCAGTAATGTTGTACGAGCCAGAGATAATGCAAGAGCCAACCAAGAAGTGGCTGTAAAGATCATCAGAAACAATGAGCTCATGTAAGTTCAGAAGACGTGAGGAAACCTTTAACAGTACGGATACTTACAGAAGAACATATTTTTAAACTATTTTTTTAAAGTGATACATGATAGAATGTGTAAAACAAGTATTGCAATTATAAAGTAATGGAAACAGTTGTTTTTTTTTTTTTTTTTTTTTTTTTTGAGACGGAGTCTCGCTCTGTCGCCCAGGCTGGAGTGCAGTGGCGCAATCTCGGCTCACTGCAAGCTCCGCCTCCCGGGTTCACGCCATTCTCCTGCCTCAGCCTCCCAAGTAGCTGGGACTACAGGCGCCCGCCACTACGCCCGGCTAATTTTTTGTATTTTTAATAGAGACGGGGTTTCACCGTTTTAGCCGGGATGGTCTCGATCTCCTGACCTCGTGATCCGCCCGCCTCGGCCTCCCACAGTGCTGGGATTACAGGCGTGAGCCACCGCGCCCGGCCAGGAAACAGTTGTTTTTGACTGGATTTTAAAATTATAGCCATATGTCATATGTACTGGAACAACAGGCTGATTATTTTTAATTCAGTGCATTTTAGTACCTACTGTATGCACCAATAACAACTTAAACTCCTTCCCTCTATTGTCTGTCTTATGCCGTCCTTTGCTTTATCTGAAGACGAGTTGAGAAATGAAAGGATCATGTTGATTAGCTGTCACTATGGTGACCTGCAAAAAAGTGAAAATTTATCAGAGTGATGAGAATCTGTCTTTTTTTAATTTGTTCCTGTTTTCCTCCAATAGAAAGTTAATTGCCATATCTGTGTGTTTTAATACCACACACTGAGCTGGTATTAAAATGAATTTAATGTGTTTGAAATGTTGGAAATAAGTGTTAAGTTTAGATTGCCCTAGGCTTAGAAAGGACCTTGTTTTGATGGGAAGCCCCAACTTCTGTATTTAGCTGCTTACTATAAAATGTAGCTTATTGACAAATTGTAACAAGAATTTCCTCAGATAACCAAGTGTTAAAATTTGATAAGGCATCCATTACTATGTTCTGTTTTTTTGTTGTTGTTTGTTTGTTTGTTTGTTTTGAGACAGGGTTTTGCTCTGTCACCCAGGCTGGAGTGCAGTGGCATGGTGGCATGATCTCGGCTCACTGTAACCTCTGCCTCCTGGGTTCAAGGGATTTTGCTTCCTCAGCCTCCCAAGTAGCTGGGATTACAGGCGCCCACCACCACGCCCAGCTAATTCTTGTATTTTCACTAGAGACAGGGTTTCGCCATGTTGGCCAGGCTGGTCTTGAACTCCTGACCTCAAGTGATCCACCTGCCTCGGCCTCCCAAAGTGCTGGGATCACAGGCATGAGCCACTGCACCTGGCCCATTACTGCATTCTTAAAGGAACCAAGACTAGTGTGCAGTGTGGTTCCATTTTGTTAAAAATAATGTCAAGATGTGGGTTTTGTTTTGTTTTTTTGTTTGTTTTTGTTTGTTTGTTTGTTTGAGATGGAGTTTTGCTCTTGTTGCCCAGGCTGGCGTGCGGTGGTGAGATCTCAGCTCAACTGCAAACCCTCCGTCTCCCGGGTTCAAGCCATTCTCCTGCCTCAGCCTCCCGAGTAGCTGGGACTACAGGCACCCGCCACCACCCTTGGCTAATTTTTGTATTTTTAGTAGAGACAGGGTTTCGCTATGTTGACCAGGCTGGTCTTGAACTCCTCACCTCAAGTGATCCACCCACTTCTGCCTCCCAAAATTCTGGGATTACAGGCATGAGCTACCGCGCCTGGCCTGTTTTGAGATAAAATATACAAGATTGATATTCCTTCAGGCAAAATCAAAATTTTTTAAAAATCAAAATAAGATGGGTTTGTTCCTCAATGTTTCTGTTTTGTGCAGTGATTATTTTGGAAATTAACTCTATGTATGATAATGATAGTTGACTAACTATAAAGTGTTATGTGAATGATATATAGAGACACCATTTCTCAGTAGATTTATTAGTACTTAAAAATATACAGACTTCTCCCACACATCACCTGATCGTCATACTGGGGCTAGCAAATACATTATTTAGTGCTCCTAAATTCTGTATATATTCAATTTTACCCCAATTTTTTTTTTTATTTTAGGCAAAAGACTGGTTTAAAAGAATTAGAGTTCTTGAAAAAACTTAATGATGCTGATCCTGATGACAAATTTCATTGTCTGAGACTCTTCAGGCACTTCTATCACAAGCAGCATCTTTGTCTGGTATTCGAGCCTCTCAGGTACAATGTCAAAACGTGTGCATTAAATTGCAAATTTAACTTCTTCATCTTTACGATCTCATTTTGGATAAATGCTGTAACAGATTTTCTGCGTATTTGATTTGTTTTATCCACACAGCTCTGGTTTTTGTTTTTAACTTGTGGTTAACAGCTAGTCTTTGTTGTTGTTGTTGTTGTTGTTGTTGAGACAGTCTCACTCTGTTGCTCCTCCCGGAGTACAGTGGTGCAGTCTTGGCTCGCTGCAACCTCCACCTCCCGGGTTCAACAGAGAGTCTCTCTTAAAATGAAATACTTCAAGGAAGGAATTTTTATCTTCAACAGTGTGGCTTTGTTGTGTTTTCAGATGTGAATCTATTCTAAAATCGAAATGGGAGTTTTACCTTGCATATCTTTCTTCTTACCTATTTAGAAAATTTGAATTTATTCAGAAACTGTGTTATATACATACAATTTGATATGCTCTCCTTTCAATATAAAATGATTTATCAAATGTGGGGGTGGTTCTTACATATTTTTATTTTGCGCTTGATTTTACTTTATGCTTGCAAATGTTTTTGCCTTTTTATATTTCCATTTTGCATTTTAACTCCTATTTTGTTTTCTTTTTTTAATTTTCTCCTAAAAGCATGAACTTACGAGAGGTGTTAAAAAAATATGGTAAAGATGTTGGTCTTCATATTAAAGCTGTAAGATCCTATAGTCAGCAGTTGTTCCTGGCATTGAAACTCCTTAAAAGATGCAATATCCTACATGCAGATATCAAGCCAGACAATATCCTGGTAAGTCAAACAGCCAAGCTGCGCTGTACATCTTGAACATACATTTCACTTCTTACTAGCAGTAATATTATTACTATGAGAAACGACATCTTAGAAGCATAGTTCAGTATATTAATAACCTATTTCAAATGACTAATACTTTTTTATCTTTCTTGGAAATCGGACAGTGAAATTTTATTGACAAGTATGAAGAAAAAGGAAATGTACAATTGTCCCTTTTTTTCTCTTTTGACTGATAGATTTAAAGTGTGCACCAATCCTGGAATGCTTTACTGTAGTAATGAGTTTCTTCTGTTATCTTTAGAAAAATGCTGCACATGTTGCTGTTTTGAAATAAGGAGTGTCCGTACTCTTCTGTTTGCTAATTTTATAGCTCCCTAAGCTGTGGCTCCTGGGGGCTCAAACACAATAAAGCTCAGTTGTGGTTAGGTATTATATTTAAAGGCATCGCTTTTGAAGTTTATTTTATTTTATTTTTAAACTTTCAAGTTCAGGGGTACATGTGCAGGCTTGTTACATAGGTAAACTTGTGTCATGGAGGGTTTGTACCCACTTTTCCTGATCCTCTCCCATCTCTCACCCTCCAGCCTCTGACGGACCCCAGTGTGTATTGTTCCCCTGTGTGTCCATGTGTTCTCACCTTTTGAAACCTTAATTCTCTTCGACTAGTGACTTCTGGTGGTAACAGCAGATTTCACAATGTATATGTTTTTAAAATTTTGAAATACATACATATTATCATAGTGATGTGATTAATGCACACACACACTCCTCCCCTCCCTGGCCCCATTACTTTACCCTGTTTTGTGGCCTTCAGTTTGGGTCGTGTTCGCAACTTGGAGAATTCCAGCTTATATGCTGGTAACATTCTGCATTTCATTTTTTTAAAATGGGTTCTCTTTATCAGTTCTCCTACAGTTGATGCCTAGGAGAGATCCTGAAGACTAAAAGCTAAGCGTGTAAGGTGTTCTTTATTGGGAACTCTTGGAGCTATAACAAAATAAATACTTTTGATTTTTTCTTTTGTTTTTTTTGTTTTGTTTTGTTTTGTTTTGAGGTAAGGTCTTGTTCTGTCACCCAGGCTAGAGTGCAGTGGTGCCATAATGGCTCACTGTAACCTCCAACTCCTAAGCCCAAGCAGTTCTCCTGCCTCCGCCTCCCCAGTAGCTGGGACTACCCACAGGCACATGCCACTGTGACTGCCTAATTAAAAAAAATTTTTTTTAGAGATGAGGTTTGGCTGGTCTCAAACTCCTGGGCTCAAGCAATCCTCCTGCTGCAGCCTCCCAAAGTGCTGGGATTATAGGTGTGAGCTACCATGCTTGGCCAAGATAAATTCTTTAAAAAATGGTGATCTCATTAAAGTTTAAGGAGTTTTTTTTTAATCAATAACTAAGCTATTTAATTCATATTTCTTTTTCTTTTTTGTTAATATCTTAAAATATTTCCTTTATTTCCTTCCAGACAACCACATTAGTAATGAGGTGTATTCCATTTTTATGTTTGGTCTGAATTATTATTGTATTGTATATCTAATGTAACTTGGAGTTAGGGGAGCTGAGTAATTTCATTGAAATGGTAGGTACATTAAAAATGAAGTATAAATTTGTGTGGCCAATTTCATAGTTGATTTTTACCTCAGTTTTTTTTATGAGACACAGCCTTGCCCTGTTACCAGGCTGGAGTGCAATGGCGTGATCTCGGCTCACTGCAACCTCCAACTCCCTGGTTCAAGCATTTCTCCTGCCTCAGCCTCCCGAGTAACTGGGATTACAGGCAGGGGCCACCACGCCCAGCTAATTTTTGTATTTTAGTAGAGACGGGGTTTCACCATGTTGGCCAGGATGGTCTTAATCTCCTAACCTCGTGATCTGCCCGCCTCGTCCTCCCAAAGTGCTGGGATTATAAGCGTGAGCCAATTTTTTGTTTTTTAATTGTGAAATACATGGTTCATGTCAAAGAATATGCAAAACATGTACAATTTAAAAGGTCATTTACAGTGAGCGTCTTTGTGACCATTGTGGAGGTTAAAGAATAACACATTTGCCAGTGTCACAGAAGAAACTCTTGTTTTTAAAACCTAATGCTAAACTAGTATAGGTTTTCACATACATTTAAGAAATGTTTTCCCGTCTTCCTGGGGAAGGAAAAAATAGACCTTAATGACGGAGCTGATTTTTGTTAATGAAAATCCAAAGCCTTTAGCTCGTAATTTCAGGTATCAGTGTGGTTTAAGTACCACATTCCTCATGACAGGAGCAGAAGTTGTGTAGCAAACTGAAGTGCATATGAGTATGGATACCCTGCTATTCTTTAAGGCATTTTAGCCAGCCCAAGAGTTCCACTGATGGATTCTAATTTTAAAATGGTTCTTAAGTTTTCTGTGGGTATTGAAACTGCTTAAGTAGCTGAATTCAGCTTACACTTTAAAAAGTTTTAAAATAACTTTTCTATTTTAAGATGCTTTTCTGATTCCCAAGATGAAAAGAATAGTAATCAATGTGGGAGTTAAAAATAATCATTTCTGTTCCTATTAATAGCTTAACTCTGGATATCATTTATAATAGTCCAGTCTCCCCATAGAGACTGCCTAAGGCTATAGTGTTATGCTGCTTTGGGGTGGGAGCAGTAGGCCAAGTTCAAGTCCCAACTCGGAATTTGTGTGTGTCTCTTTTGAAGGGGGGAAGGGACTCTGGAATATGAATTATCTTCACTTGTTAATCCTGAACATGCCTCTGACTCATGAGTGGCAGCAGTCATGGGAGCAACTCCAGCCTTTCTCAGCAGATGTCACTATTACTGTGTATGTTGAAGTATTTACAAAGGAAAAAAGAAACAAATGACTAATATAGAGTTCATGTTTATCAGTTTTGCCAGATATATTTAACATTTTCTTGACTAATACCTTCTTTATATTTGAGGGATTTAATATTTTTTAGACTTGAAGTGATTGCTAAATTTGGGATCATATAGCAGCTTCGGATGAAGAATATTTTGTTTTTGTCCAAGTTTATTCTGAATCACCCTTCTGCTTTCATTGCCATTGTAATTCTCTGGCAACTGAAAGTTAAGTCTGATTCCTTAGTTATAAAACTTGACTTTATTCAGGTATTCAGGGTCTTTTTAGAAGATGCTTTGCTTCATGAAATTAGATTTTTCTCTCAGTACCCCACCCTTTTAAAAATGCAGTTGTTAAAATTAAATGTACTTTGTGATATCCATTTCCTCACTGAAAACAGTTTTTACTCATTGTAATGAATATTTGATACATATTAACTTTTCATAGTTAGGAAATTGAATTAAAAATAAATAGAAAAGGAATTTTTAAATGAATGTCTTTGTTCTCAGTATTGGAATTAATAAAACTTTTCAAAGCCAATAATTTTTATTTATTTGTATTAATTATTCCTGGCTTGAATTAAATTCCCTTGAAAAAATGTTTTGCAGGTTAATGAATCCAAAACTATTTTAAAGCTTTGCGATTTTGGGTCGGCTTCACATGTTGCGGATAATGACATAACACCTTATCTTGTCAGTAGATTTTATCGTGCTCCTGAAATCAGTAAGTTTCTTAATGTTCTTTGACCTGGGCCATCATATGTGGTGGAAACCGCATACTTAATGTCTAAGCACTGTTTTCCATCACACTTCAGCAGCTGCACGAGTTCATTCATGAGGAAGGGAACCATAGCAAGTTCATCCTCCTCAGGTGGAATGAAGGTAGTTGTGACAGGAGTCTTGATCATGTCGGGCAAGAGTAGCAAAACAGTTGTGGAAAATCCTCGACTTTAGAAGACTGCTCTTGATTATTCAAGGTCTGATTATCACATTTATGGATTGTATGGGACCTTTGTTTTTTCCTGTTGCCTTGGTTGAGGCTGATTAGCACCTCCACCAAAGGCGAAATGAGAAAAGAGAAGAAATACATATTTTCTTTTGCCCTTTAAGTTCCTCCCCTACACCTCCATTTTTTAAGGTTTTTAAGTTTGAGTCTCTATTAAGAATTAGTGGGAAAGAACACAAAACTAATTGTCAAACTAAGGCATGAAGATTGTGGTTATAGTCCAAGCTAAGGTAGCCAGCCCCTCATTAATGGAAATAAAAATTAATAGTCGTCAGTTTTCTCTATCCTCGTATATTAAAACTTTGATTTTGTTTTCAGTTATAGGTAAAAGCTATGACTATGGTATAGATATGTGGTCTGTAGGTTGCACCTTATACGAACTCTATACTGGAAAAATTTTATTCCCTGGCAAAACCAATAACCATATGCTGAAGCTTGCAATGGATCTCAAAGGAAAGATGCCAAATAAGGTAAGACATTAGCATGAGCTTCTTTAAGGTCTTAGTTTCTTATTAACTGACAAGACTGCTGACACTTGCTCACCACTAGTGAGCTATAAAACAAAAATTTCAGAAAGGTGGGTAGATGGCTATCATGATTTCTTAGGGTCTTTCCCTTTTCTGGTGTTTTAAATTAGTGGTTCTAATCAGCCAAGCGCTAAGGATAAGAGAACTTGTTCAATGATGGACAGAGAGCAGCAATATTTTGGGGATACACCCTTATGGGTAAAAGTTTCAAAATGTTTGGAAGACAGAATGGAAAAAGATGTAAGTTGAATTAGGTAAAATACAAGAACATGCTTAGTGGTCAGAGAATGAATAGGTGAATATTAGATATTGTAAGAGGAACTTGATGTTAATTAATTTATTAAAGATTGGAGGTTATTTGAGAAAGTAAGGTACCTTTCTTGGTACCTTTTCTTATTTAATATCTTTCTAACTCACCGCTGATACTTCAGCTATAATGCTAGTTTCTGTTTAACATGAAGCAAGAATGTAAGCATTTATTAAAGTATCTGAGGGCCATAACTTAGCTTTTTTTTTTTTTTTTTTTTTGAGACGGAGTCTTGCTTTGTCGCCCAGGCTGCAGTGCAGTGGCGCGATCTCAGCTTACTGCAAGCTCTGCCTCCCGGGTTCATGCCATTCTCCTGCCTCAGCCTCCCGAGTAGCTATAGGCATGAGCCACCGCACCCGGCTGTAACTTAGCTTTTTAAGATTTCAGCCTATTTGCTGAATTTCTAAAGATTTACACATTTTTCGTAAAGGTCAGAAAACTGTATGGTTTTCAGTTGTGTTTTGTTGTTGTTGTTGTTTTGAGACTGGATCTTGCTCTGTGTCCCAGACTGGAGTACAGTTATAGCTCACTGCAGCCTTGAACCGAACCCCTGGGCTCAAGCAGTTCTCCTGCCTCAGTCTCCAATGTAGCTGGGACTACAGGCATGTGCCACCACAACCAGTTAATTTATTTAATAATTTTTTTGTAGAGATGGAGTTTCACTATGTTGACCAGGCTGATTTGTACATATTGTCCAAATTCTATTAGGTTGGACTTTTTTTAGAATAAGTTACATAAAAATGAGCTATGTTGGTATTAGTTTTAATGAAGTCTGACCTGTATCAGGGCTGTTGGAACATAATTAGTAAAGTGGCATTAGGTTCCCTAACTGCCAAGGAGAAAAAACCTGAGTTTTGTGATATTTTTAGGAAGAAATAATTTAAAGTCTTTGTTGACTCTCCAATTTTAAATAGTGAAAGGACAATTTGATGTTATAATTGTTTTAAGTCACTGCCTGGACAAATATAATTTCATGTTATTAAGTAGTTTTAGGTACAGCATTGGTATTTGCTTTTGCAAAGATGTTAATGAATTCCTGGGATCAAGGGAATCTGAGATCAAACAAACCTACAGAGACTAAATAACATACTTATTTGACTTATTGTATATTAATTAAATTGTTAGTAGGCCTGTTTCATAATAGTTCAAAACCCAAGTTTTTGTTTTGTTTTGTAGATGATTCGAAAAGGTGTGTTCAAAGATCAGCATTTTGATCAAAATCTCAACTTCATGTACATAGAAGTTGATAAAGTAACAGAGAGGGTAAGTGTTTTAAATGCAGCATGCAATAGTTATTTTATTGTTAACTGAGTACTAAATCATACGAGCTGGTGAATTAAAAAAAAAACAAAAACCCAAAAGTAAGTATTTCCTTTTTGCTGTCGACCAATTCCTAAATAAAACACATCAGACCATGGAAAAGATGGAGGGATTTTAAAATGTTTTTCTAGCATAATTAATTTATTTTTATTATAGGTCATATTTAGGCCCTCGTCACATCTTCTTTGGATTACTTTCTTGGTCTGGCTTCCCATCCAGCTTTCTTATTGCTGCTAGAGTGATGTTTCTGAAAACATATCTGGTCATGTTCCTATCCCTGCTTAAAAACCTTTGTTGGCTCCCTGTTACCTATGAAATAATATTTAAGTTCCTCAGAATGACAAATCCAACTGCTTTCTTCAGTTTTCAGACCTCTCTTCAGTACATTCAGAACCCCCACCTTTCCACATTTGGCCAGAAGGCGTGCTGGTTCAGACCTTTGTGCCTTTGCTAACAGACCTCCCTGAGCTTAGTCATTTCCTGTGCTGCCTCACCCCCAACCCCCTAAAAAATGTATCATCTTCAAGCCTCAGCTGAAATACACATTCTGTATGAGCCTTTTGAAAACTCCCAGATTGAAGTAATGATTTCCTTATTTTTGTCCCATTATTATAGCATATGTCCCTGTCTTTGTCAGAGCACTTAATAATACTTCAGGGTATTAACTTATTCACATGTCTGTCACTTACCACTTCAAGGTAGGGAAAGTACAGTGCAAACAGCTCATGCTTATCTTATTGTAAATTTTCATTGCTAACTTGGAGTTGACTTTTTTTTTCTTTTTTGAGACTGAGTCTCGCTCTGTCACCTGTCACCCAGGGTGAAGTGCAATGGCACGATCTTGGCTCACAGCAACCTCTGCCTCCCAGGTTCAAGCAATTCTCATGCCTCAGCCTCCCGAGTAGCTGGGATTACAATTGTGTGCCACCACGCCTGGATAATTTTTGTATTTTTAGTAGAGATGGGTTTTGCAGTGTTGCCCAGGCTGGTCTCGAATTCCTGAGCTCAAGTGATCCACCTACCTTGGGCTTCCAAAGTGCTGGGATTACAGGTGTGAGCCACCGCGCCCAGCCCAGAGTTGGCATCAACTTTTTCATTTAAGTTTTTTGGTTACCTTTTAAAAAGATGTACAGCATAGAGGAAACCACAGCAAAGTTTTAAATGAATAGATGATGATGATACAGTCATGCGTCACATAACCACAGCATACACTCACACACATCTAGGGTAAGTAGTATGGCCTTTTGCTTCTAGGCCTGAACTGTAAGTTGGTGGACTGAATACTGTAGGCACTTTTGCAAGTGGTAAGTGTATGTATGTATCTAAACATAGAAAAGGGAGAGCAAAAATACGGTATTCCAATCTTAAGGGACCACTGTCATATATGCAGTCTGTCATTGCCCAAAATGTGCACTGTGTGTATATATTTTGTATGTATATGCATGTTTTTAATATTTTTGATAGACCCCAAAACAATCTGATTTAAGTTGTATATGCTTAGTAACTTATTTAGAGATACGCATTTTAAAAATTATTTTTAGGAGAAAGTTACTGTTATGAGCACCATTAATCCAACTAAGGACCTGTTGGCTGACTTGATTGGGTGCCAGAGACTTCCTGAAGACCAACGTAAGAAAGTACACCAGCTAAAGGACTTGTTGGACCAGATTCTGATGTTGGACCCAGCTAAACGAATTAGCATCAACCAGGCCCTACAGCACGCCTTCATCCAGGAAAAAATTTAAACAAGATGAAGAAACTCCAAGGGTTTGAGTAAATACAAAGACTGAAGAAATTTCACAGCAGTTTATTAATGTATATAAACTTATAAATATTTCTCCAGCAAATTTGAGGAAGCATGATATATTTGAATTAACACCAAGGGTGATATTTCTTTTAGAGATGTTAGTTAATCTGTTTTGTGTCTTACGTGAAATTTCACTGTAGACTGTTTTAAATTGCCAAGACTGCACAAAATTACAGTGCTAATGTATATGGTTGCAGTTCACATAAAGACAAAAGCATCTGTTATGAAATGAGTAGTAATATTGGGTGGTTGATTTGTTCTTAGCAGACTTGGCTTCATTTTGGTCTTGAGATAAAATGGCCAGCATAAATGCTGTTTATATTCACGTTTTCCTAGGTGTGTGTGTGCAGGCCACAGCAGCATGCCCTTGGTGTAGTCAGTGCCGAAAGGGGTCTGTTCCTTCTTGAGCCTGCCTGCAGGGATGGTCTCCTTTTAAAGCAGGTTGTGTGCAGCATTCAGTACACTGAAGGTAAGCTAAACCATCAACATCTCTGGTGTTTTAAGATGTTATTTTATTGGAACAACTGACAAATGAGGGATGTTAGCTTTGTGGCAGAATTCCCTGCATGTGTGATAACTGATCTTGTTTTATTTTTTGGCATTGCAACTGTGGCATAGTTACAATTTCTGTTTGTTCATCACATTTAAAATTGGAAGAGAACGCGCTTGATGGATAGAGCGCCTTCAGTGTACTGTTTCTTATTAACTTTACTTTTTTTAAATCAACTTGCTATAGACTTTATATACATTTTGTTAAATATAGTTCCTAGTGACATAGAAACGATGCGTAGTTTTCATTTACTAATTACAAATGTTGAGGCCTAATTCTGAAAGTCCTCATATTTAAAGGCTAGACAACGTAATGAAATTTTTAACTATTTGTATGTCATTTTGAAAGTGTACTGCTTTATGGTAAAAGTGTTTTTCATTTGTTCATTGTTTTCATTATTTGTGATCATGTTGTCTTTCAATACAGGCATAAACCTTCCACTCTTGAACAAAGCAGCTGCTTTTTAAAAGCGGTAATTGCTTCTTTACCTTTTATTTCTTTTGTAAATGAAGCTTTTCTTTAAGAATGTGACTTTAAAGTGTTGTCTATTGCATAAAACAGTTGACACTCACTTATTGTAAAGTGAAGATTGTTCTACTGCATGTGAAGTGGACCATGCAGATTTCTGTATGTTCTCAGTATGCATCACTAGATAATAAAGTCTTTTGTGAACAAGGCATTTGTAGCCATTTTTAAAAGTTTTTGTCTTCAGTGCTGGTAAGTCAGGTAAACCATAAATAGTTAAAAGCAACCTTTTGTTTTTTTCCTGAAAGTTTTTAATTGAAAGTATTATTAGTTAAAGATGTAAACCTAGCCAAAATTACCAGTTTATTAATAATTAGGATCCTAATTATTTCAAAAAATCCTACAAATATTGTCAGCTTTCAGTGTAGTGAGATTATTCCTGTAGGTTATGGGGTATAATTCAGGATTTAACTAATGTTTCTGCTATTTTCTCACTTTTCCTTTTGATGGTGCGGAAAGAGAAAAAGGAAAACGGGGCACAGGCCATTCGACGCCTTCTCCAAGGGGTCTGATTTGCTGAGACACCAGCTTCACCTTCTTAACAAGGTTATTTCTGACAGCATGTGTAGATAAACATTTAGCAACAATTTAAGACAAAATCGTTTAAATCAGCTTGGTTTTGCAACACAAAGGAATTTGTATTATTAACATGGTAGAAGAGAATTTTTCAGAAATATATGTAATCTTTGCTGTTTGGGGGGTAAAATTAATGCTTGTCTCCCTGAGGAATATGGAAAATAATCAGATTTTAGGGGTTTAAATAATATTTTTAAATTGTAAATGGGATTTTTTTATTCACCCAGGCACCTAATTACAACAAGCATGCACATTTTGGTGCATTCAAGAATGGAAAATCAGAATAGCAGCATTGATTCTTCTGGTGGGTTTTGCTCCATTTAAAGACATGAAATGAACTACAGCCAGGAAGGTGATAGATGATATAATAAGCCACCTCTGAACCTACACCCCGTCTCTTCACGGTTTAGACTTACTAAAATAAATACAAGGTGATTTTCATCTTCAGGTAGAGTGAAGCCTTTTAATTAAGGCGTCACAGGTGCAGCTATTCTACCTTAATGAAATGGGTAGTGATTTTCCCACCATTATTTATTTCGGTGATAATATGCTGCATATTCAAGTCTCTTGTAGTTATTTTCACCCAAAGTAGTTGACAATTTGATGCTTCTGGTGATGTTTATGGCTTCATTTTATGTAATTTTTTAAGTAAGTTCCACTAGAAACAGTTCATCTTATACCTTCAAAACTGTTACCTGTTCTTTAAAAAACAAAGTTGCTTGTTACTTGTTCTTTGTGTTTTAGGTGCAGCTCAGTGGAAGATGATGACAACCAGAAGACATGAGCTAAGGTTTCTGTCCTATAAAAGATTTATTAAAAAACAATCCTTCATTTATTTTTTGTCTAATTTTTTAGTTTTCAGCATTATGATTTGGGTTTTATTGGTGTTTGGTATTTAGAATTAGTGCTGTTGTGGAGTGCGTCTGTAAAGTGCTTGTTTTATCATACTTCCTGCCTCTCCCCTCCCCCAGTTTCTCCTCCCCTAAAATAAAAATAGTGGTCAACTTTAGTAATATAAAAGGCTGCTGGATGCTGAGATTCCACATAACACATGGTTGTCAAAATTGGATGTTAAGGATTCTTAGAAAAACAGCAACCACCAGAATAGCATATATCTGAAAGTAGTCTTCAGCTTTAGGCAGATGCAAAAGAATACAAACTGGAATATTAAGAATACTGTTCAACTCCTTTAGTATCTGTTCCCCAACTTACCCTGTAGAAACCTCGTTATTAACCAGTGTTCCAGTCTTAAAGTAGACAAAATATTCAGAGCCATTTTTTTTAAGGGAAATGAAAAAGATACTCTGGGTTTTTTATACTCCCCAATTTAGCATATCTAGACTACCTATTTGAAAGGAACCCTATCAACTGTCTTATGTACGTTACATGATTTTCCTACACTCTGTAATTTTGCTGAGGTGCAATTTGGAACTCTGCAAGACCTACTAGATTGAATTTATTTAGTGAATGCTCCTGAATAAATGTGCATTCCTCTTTTAGAGTAGCTGTATGCTTTTCAAATGCTATCTGCCGTGAATTTTTTGCTTTTATTATACTTTATGGCAAAAGTGATATCAAGTGATTGTCAGACTTGAGGGCTCATAGAAGTGTTAGGTACGGCTCTCAAAGATGTTACAGTTTTTTCTAGGGTTGGGAGAATAGTTGAGATCTGGAAAGCATAGACATTTTTTACACTCTGGATAGACTTTATTCTTGAAGATCATCAGAAATGAGGTTGGAATTTCGAGGTTTTGAGCAGGGGGAGCATCTTATATTCACCCTTAAATCGTTATTAATACATCCTGTTTTCTTCATTCCCTGATAGCTATCTCATTTCACTCTACTGTCTCAAAATTTTGTTTTAAAATAATAGAAATGTTTTGCCATTATTAAGTACCACTTTATTCCTAACAAAAATAAGTACTCAGGACTTTTTTTTCAAAATGAAATATTTATGTACTGTTTTATGGTATGTGGTAGAGTAAGTAAAATGTAATGTTCTCAGTTTTGTTCCATATTTGCATTCCTCTTATGCTTTACCTGTATTTTATCATTTGTAAGCAGAACTCTAGCTATATGGGGTAGAAATAAAATCTCTGAGATGAAACAAAGGAATCAACATGATAAAATTTAGGCGAAGTAGTTAAGAAATGGCCCTTTTGAATGTTGAAGATAGGAAAGAAAGCCATATATTCAAATATGTAATTTTCCTCATTTAGTTATAATGACATCTTTACCAATTGGGCTTCATAAATGTGTTTCTTTCTTAATAGTATCCTAGTTCCAGCATATATTCAACATGAATTTTATCATTCTCCTCCTAATGGAATGTCTTCCTTATAGAAATGTTCACGACAAATTCATTTGTGTTTTTTACATGTCAATAATGTATGCTAAATTAAAATGTTTTCCAGTTATTCTGATAGATGTCATTATGGCATCCTTAATTTTTCTTCTCCTTCTGTATATAGGGTAAGGGACTGTTCTGAAGAACCTTTCCATTTAGTGATCAAGATATGGAAGCTGATTTCTGAAAATGCTCAGTGTGTACTCTAATTATTTATGGTACCATTTGAATTGTAACTTGCATTTTAGCAGTGCATGTTTCTAATTGACTTACTGGGAAACTGAATAAAATATGCCTCTTATTATCATATTGTCTCCTGGTTTTTTTCTTTGGTTGAGTTCAGATTTTCCTCACAAACATCAAAACATTTTCAAAGCATTAGGTGCACAACACCAAAGAGTGTATTATATTCGTGTTCCTGTTACATACATTTCTGCTTTGGTTTTCCTAGTAAAGGAAACAGATAAGTAATGAGCCAACTCCTGTTTTTATAATGATAAAAATAAATTGGTTCATTGCTCACATGATAGCTTGACAAATCTTGGGCTCTTATCCTCAGTATACCCACTCTTTATTTTCTTCTTTTAAGGAACTGTTTTTGGCTTTTCAAAACAGTGAGTAAAATAGATTCACAGTGTAGTTTGTGAATCTTAGTGCATGCAAAGCAGATAAGGCAGGCAGAATGGCCTTGTAGAATGCACCCACCCACCCCATTGGAGCTAACCACCGCAGAGTGGCAGGTAGAAGCTAGTATGCTTGATTCTGGGCTGAGAAATGGTCAAATGGCACTGGCTCTGGATAGTCTTCATGTAAAGGCCCCAGTTATAATTTTGTTAGACTGCATAACTATCTAAAGTGGCTATGAGGTTATTGTATCTGGTACATTTTAGGGAAAATAGTATGCAGGATGTATTGGTTAAGGACCTTTCACACATACTTTTTTTCTTTCTTTTTTTCTTTTTTTTGAGACGGACTCGCCGTCTATCGCCAGGCTGGAGTGCAGTGGCACGATCACAGCTCGCCTCCGCCTCCTGACCTCAGGTGATCCACACGCCTGAGCCTCCCAAAGTGCTGGGATTACAGGCATGAGCCACCACACCCGGCCACACATACTTTCTCTAATTAGAAAGATTCAACCTCATGAAGATCCAGTGAGCTGAGGACCATCAATGACTGGAGAGCTAAACATGGGTATTTATCAGCAAACTAGGTTTTCCCGAACAGAATTTATATGTGTGTTATAAACTGCCAAATGTTTTCTTATTTAAAGATAATGGTGGGCGTTGACTTCCACCAAGTATGAAAAATAGCCAAATATTTTGTATTCATGTCTCCAGTTTTGTCCACTACATATGTAGACAAGTGGGTCCCACTTCACCTGTTTGAACCAGGTCTTTTTCCCCTGTCAGTCTACAGGATAAATTTGAGATGATACATCTCTAATCCCTACAAAACTTGCCACTTCTGGTCTCAGTCCCATCTCCCATGCCCATTCCCACGCCTAGTCTTACTGAAAGGGTTTGTGTCTGTTGCACCGTACCATTTCCCTGTGCCTTGGCACATGCCCTGCAAGAAACAGGACATTGTTAGGAATTATTGTTCTGCACCTAACTAGTGCTAAGGAGGTCCATTCTCGAGATGGTTTGCCCTCCTGTGTCATTCTTACTTCCCTAATGTATTTTGTGAATACTTGTATATGCCAGGCACTTTTGCTGCTGGTCATTTAACCCGCACATGATTATATGAGATAAAGACAGTCTACCCACTTTACCCATCAGAAAAGTGAAGCAAGAGAGGTTAAGGAAACTGCTAAAGGTGTTAGGTGTTCAGTGGCAGGAGTCTGGGTTCGAATTTAGACAGCCTAGCGACAGAGCTAGTGCTTGTAACCACTATGTCATGCATGACAGTTGGTAGTCAAGTACTACCTGCCAGGATACAGTGGTGAGCAAACAGGCATGTCCTTTCTGAAGGTTTTACAAATAAAAATTACATCATAACCCTGGGGGTGAGGGAAAGAATCCAGGTAGCTAAGGAAAGTAGAAACGAGAATGGACACAGAGGGCTTGTCAAAAAGGTTCAGTACACAAGTTAGAAGGAATTGTAAGAATTAAAGATGGTTTGTGGGAAACAGGTCACTGCAAGTTGGAATTTAGTGAAAATGTAAGTCCACTTTGGCATATACTTTTATGAGAGGGATATTATACCACTTTGGATTAACGGGACTGATTGTATGGGATACAGGTAAAATTTCATTATGCTAAGACTAACCAATTACGTTTGTTTTCTATTGCTGTGCTATATGATTCTAGAAAATTCTTTGAAATTAAAAACTAAGCATGCTCTCTGACCCCTGCCTCTAAGAAAACTTTGAACCTTAAGCTACTAAAGCTGGAAAAGCTACAGTTGTTCTCTTCTGCATTTATTTGAATTATTCATTAATTCACTCATCCCTAACTCAAATATTCCAATATTCCATCTCATTTGCAGGGATGACACCCAAACATTTAGTGGCTGTCTTTGTGTGTGGGGTTACGGGGGGAACGGCTTTTTTTTTTTTTTTTTTTTTGAGATGGAGTTTTGCTCTGTTGCCCAGGCTATGGGCAATGTCGGCTCACTGCAACCTCCACCTCCCGGGTTCAAGCAGTTCTCTGTCTCAGCCTCCAGAGTAGCTGGGATTACAGGCACCCACCACCACGCCCAGCTAATTTTTGTATTTTTAGTAGAGACAGGGTTTCACTATCTTGGTCAGGCTGGTCTTGAACTCCTGACCTCGTGATCCACCCACCTCAGCTTCCCAAAGTGCTGGGATTACAGGTGTGAGCCACCACGCACAGCCACCTTACTTTTCATTTGGTACCTTTGGATAATGGTTGAAGTTTTAATTGTGTATTTTTTTAATTTTTAGAAAAATTAATTTGAATTCACCAACCATCCACTTAAAACCCAAACACAGTATATTCCAAAATATCTGAACCTCTAATTTATGTATGTTACATCAATCCTTTCCTTTACATCTTTCAAAGTGTGATCCAAGAACCACCTGCATTAAAATCACCTGGAATATTTGTTTATAATGTGTGTCCATGGGTCCCAATTCCAAAGATTGTGTTTCAGAGGGCCTGCAATAGAAGCTAGGACTCTATTTGTTTCCTTGATTCTTAGGGGCAGTAAAGTTTGTCAGTCACATAGTTTTCCTTTTTCGCTAGTTAATGAGTTATGTGTTGGCTGAATGAATTTCAACTAACCAGCCTTAAGACTTCCAGCAGTGCAGAGCCTTGGAAAAAACTCTAGTAACATGACATTTTGGCTGCTCTGTGGACAATGATCTTACTCAATTTTTCCTTCAACATTTAGAAAATACTGGATCTGAGTGGAAGAGGGTTATTTCAAGCCTAAACCTGTAGTTGGGCCCCAAAGAGAACTATCTTTCATGTAAATGACAAAGAAAGGCCAGGGACAGAAAATTTCTAAGGATTTGGGAGGAGCTAGGAGGATCTAGAGGATCTTGTACATTAACAGAACAACAACTTCTTTAGCTTTTAAGGGCCAAGTAAATGCCCAAAGGATAGGTCAAAATGATAGATCTGTGGAGATGAGGGCACAGGAAAAAAAAAATGATACCAGAGTGAGAAAGACTTTTTAAAAAATCAACTCTTATGACTATATGACAAGAACTACAGCTGCAATAAGTCAATTATACCATTTATTGATGGAATTATACTGGAAAACAATCACTGAAAAAAGAGTAGCCTTTTGAATAGAATAGTCTACCAAGTGAACCATTTACTTGAAACACAACATGCAAAAGATTGTGAAATATGTCAGTATAGAAGCCTGTGGGTTTATATATAGACATCTCAGCAGTGCTTTTCACAAGTTCTACTCCATATCACATCAAGCAACTGTTTGGTGATTTTGGGGGACTGTTAATAGTACCTGTGTCTTGGAATAATTAACCATATCTTAGTTGGGCTTCTTAGAGTAGATGTGTTCACATTGAGATGTATGAAAGAAAAGAGTTATTTTTGTTCAATGGGTGAGCAGCACTTATCCTTAGCAATAAGGGAAGGCGACAAACAGTTTAGCTTCTGAATAGAGAATGGTCTATTCAACACTATATTTTGTCGGTAAAGTTTCTTTTTGGTCCCAAAGTTTCTCTTCGGTGCCTTAATTTCTTCCTTCTGATTTTCGGGAAAAGTCAGAGGTATAGGTGAAACTGGCATTGGAGACCTCCATGGCAGACATCTTGTGGAGACCATTTTAACCATTGATTGATTTGTATGGCCAATAGTAGGTTTGAATGAGAGTTCTTGGCATGGACTTAAAATAGAACTTTTGGGATTCTTATCATAAGTTTCAATCAATTGTTTTGGGGTGGAAGAACTTTTTAGAGACAGTGGTCTAGAATTCCATCTATATTTGCCAGCATTGCTCCAATTCCGTTTTAAAGCATTTTGTTCAAGCTTACAAGAACCAGAGTTGTTTTTACTTTTTTCTTGACTTTTATCTACACAAGGTATCTGAAGACTCAAAGAGTCGCAAAGTTTTGGCTGTCTCACTTTTGGTGTAGCTTTGGAGGAAGAGGGTCGTTCAGTAACTGCTGGAGTACAGAAAGTCGTTTGTAGTCTTGGCCTCTCTTTTTGAATAGTCATATGTTGTAATCGTTCTAGTTCCAGTAAACGAGTTATCAAGTGTTCAACAGAGGTTTCTGCAGGGTCCACTGTCACTTTCCAATTGTCAGATTTGGAGAGGGCTAAATTGTGCAAGTCTAGAGCACTGAAAGGAGGAGGGAGAAAATCAGGATATGGAAATACTTCATTTGGCTCCTCGGTGAAAGGTTCCTCAACATTTTTTATTGTTTCTGGCTTCAAGTTCAGGTCCACCTTTTTAAAATAGCTGAGTAAAGTATCATTTGTCTTCTCATTTTCTGATAAATCACTTTCATCTGTGAAATTTTCTTCCACACTGCTGTTTCCATGTTTCAAATTCCAATTTGGAGCAGGTAATGTTTCACCATCATTGTTTTCTATAGTTGAACATGAACTAACATGAATCTCATTTCTGTTCTTAAAAAAGTCTCCATCAGCATAGGGCCAGCAGAGACCTAATGGCATTGGCAGTCCAGGGTAAGGACCAACTTGCTTATCAACTGAAGCAATTGTTAATGGGTGGTTCAGAGTGAAGACCCTTATAGGATGATTGATTACATTAAAGCCAGTTTCCACTGAAGATTTTTTGAATTCCCTTTAAAAAATAATTTAATTAATGAATGGTTTATTGACTAGAATTAAAATGCTATTAAAATGATACAGTTAAGTACCCTTTATCAAAGATTGGTTAATGTTTAGTTCCCAATGGCATATGTGTATCTAGCTACCTGCAACAGAAATATGTTAGTTTCCAAAAATGCTCTAATATACAACTACATAAATTTTAAAAATATAGATTAAAATATTAACTGGGCATCCCTTTGTGCAAGCACAGGTGACTAGATTATGACACCTAAAACGGCTAACTGTAGCTGTGAATAGACAAAGGTTAAAAGTGGCTAACTATATGTTTGTCTATAGTGTACATGCAATTATTATGTTTGAAAATGAGGATATCTAACTCAAACTGAAATTAAAGTGAAATGTTTATTGATCCAGAATTAGATAAAAGGAAACTCAAAAAATGTAATTAGGTTACTTTAAAAAGCCTTCTATGTTAGCCACTGTGGTTTTTAAAAATTACTGTAACAAAAAAGGAAGCAAACAATACCTATTAAAAATTATCCCAGATATAGTCCCTAGTAATTTTCATATAATGATGCTCTTCTATTTTAGGAGTAATTCTAGGTATTATGTTAAAATGAAAACTACAAAAAAGCCATAGAATACTGAGTTTCTAGTTAGTTTTTGTTTTTTAAAGATAACTAGAAATACTGAGATTAAAAGATTTGATGCATTAGTTGACATATAGTCTTGATATCCTCTTGTTTCTTTTTAAGCCAGTTGACATTAAAGATAACAAAGTAATCTGGAAAAGTTTTGAAAAATACTTTCGAGGCCAGGCACAGTGGCTCACACCTGTAATCCCAACACTTTGGGAGGCCAAGGCAGGCGGGTTGCTTGTGCCTGGGATTCTGAGACCAGCCTGAGCAACATGGCAAAATTCTTGTCTACAAAAAATTAGCTGGGCATGGAGGCATGCACCTGTAGTCCCTGCTCCTCTGGAGGCTGAGTTGGGAAGACTGCTTCAGCCTCAGAGGTTGAGGCTGCAGTAAGCCATGACTGCACCACTACACCCCAGCCTGGGTGACAGAATGAGGCCCTGTTGCAAAAAAAAAAAGAGAAAAAGAAAAAGAAAAAAATACTAATTTAGCTAAATACTAGGCATACTGCTTTGCCTTTGAAAAACCACAGGAAAATCACTTTAAATCTACAACTGTTAATAGACACGTACATGTAGTATGAAGAGTGTGAAATCTGGAAAGGGAGGGCCTAGGTTTGAACCCCTTTGCTACCAGTGAGTGAGCAAAATGGAAATGATAATACCTACCTTGGAGGTAGTCTGAGAAGCAAGAGAATTTATATGAATATGCTTTGCAAAATGTTAAACACTAAGTTATCGTTACTTTTATTCTTTTTATTTGTTGATGGTATATTGAGGAGAAAAATCTTTCATTGATACCAAACTTCCATCTCTGCAACATTATTAAACCTACCCAATATTAATAGCAAATGCCTGCCAAACACATTGTTCTGTTTAGTCCTCACAGCCTCATGAGATAGGCACTTTTATTTTCCACCTTTTGCAGATAAGGGAACGGGGGTGTAGAGTGGCTGAGGGCACACATCTAGGAAGTGGGAGAGCTGGAACTGCACGTGGTGGACTCCTATGCCCCAGGTCCTAACCGCTGCATTCTACCGCCTCCATTTGTTTGCTCCTCTGCTACTGTCATAAAATTCAGTTCACTTCATTTGACCACTTACCTTGAAATACTTTTTCCCAGCTGAGGTTTTTTCTCATAAAAATAGCCTTTCTTATCCCCATCAGCACCAATATTCCTTTAGGTCATCAGTCACCACAACTGCCATAGAACTTGATTTCCCCCTTGAATTTTAACATAAAGTGAACTGTATCCCAGGCCTCACAGAAGTAAAATTCTCTGACTAGGAGATGGCTGATAACAAGTGAACCACTCTCCTGCTAAATAAACTACACAAAAGAGCCATGGAACTCAGGATCCATGAGCTAAGACACTATGTAAAAGCTCCACAAAGCAGCCCTCAAAAAGCATTCATTTCCAAATACTAGTAACCTGTGTTTCCAAGAAGCCTTCTAGCTAGTCTTAATGCACGATAAAGTTTAAGAATCAAAAAAATAAGAATTAACATTCAGGGGCCGGGCACGGTGGCTCACGCCCGTAATCCCAGCACTTTGGGAGGACGAGGTGGGTGAATCACAAGGTCAGGAGTTCAAGACCAGCCTGGCCAAGATGGTAAAACCCCATCTCTACTAAAAATACAAAAATTAGCCAGGCATGGTGGCGGGCACCTGTAATCCTAGCTACTCAGGCAGCTGAGGCAGAGAATTGCTTGAACCTGGGAGGCAGAGGTTGCAGTGAGCTGAGATCGTGCCATTGCACTCCAGCATGGGCAACAAGAGTGAAACTTTGTCACACACACACAAAAAAAGAATTAAAACTCAGGTAAGGTTGGGTGCAGCAAACCACCATGGCACGTGTATACCTATGTAACAAACCTGCAAGTTCTGCACATGTATTCCCAGAACTTAAAAAAGTATTTAAAAAAAAAAAAGCGGCCTGGCATGGTGGCTCACACCTGTAATCCCAGAACTTTGGGAGGCCGAGGTGGGTGGATCACCTGAGGTCGGGAGTTTGAGACCAGCGTGACCAACATGGAGAAACCCCGTCTCTACTAAAAATACAAAATTAGCTGGGCGTGGTGGCCCATGCCTGTAAACCCAGTTACTCCAGAGGCTGAGGCAGGAGAATTGCTTCAACCCAGGAGGCAGAGGTTGTGATGAGCTGAGATTGCATCTTTGCACTCCAGCCTGGGCAACAAGAGCAAAACTCCGTCTCAAAAAAAAAAAAACCTCAGGTAAGGTCTGAGAGGCTACTTTCATATCCTGGCTCTCCCTTTCATTAATATTGTGTGACTTTGAGCAAGTTACTTAACTTGTCACCATGCCTCAGTGTCCTCATCTGCAAAACAGGGATGATAACTACCTTCCTTACATGGTCGGTTGTGATTTAAATGAATTACTACATATAAGGAATTAACATAGTCCCTGGAATGCAATACTACTTTCCTATTACAGTTCCTTTTGCTTTCAACAGGAAGTCCATACTTTATCCATCTAAAACCTTCATTGTCAGAACATGGTCAGCTCTTGACTCCTACCTATTCTAATTGTCTCGTGGTATCTGCAGCCACTTCCTGCTTTAGGGTGGACTTCTACAATTGCCCACTATTCCCACAGAATACTATTTTCTTCTGGTTGTTCATGGTCCTTGTATTTCAAATAGTTATCTCATGTGTATCTAAATTTATTTCAGTAATTTAGGGTGTTACAAAATAACTACTCGCTTACCTCTTCTCTATGGTACTTCCTTCATTAAGAGGACAATTCCATAATTGAAAGATCCCTTGTTTACTATTCTGATGACAGAAAAATAATGGGTAATAGTTTAGTAGCTGCATATATTTTTAAAATATAATATTTTAAGGGTATGAAGAATAAAATCCCACCTGTGTACTTTTTTGACTATGCACCGACAAATTAGGTTCTAGCATCAGTTGCTCCACTGGAATTTCCAAATAGTTCTATAAGGCAGCAGAAGACTTTTAAACATAATATATCTCTGTTCCCTATTCTTGTTCTAACAATGTATAGTTCTTGTTCTAATCAAGGAATGTATGGTAAAACTGAATGACACTTTGTTTATATACAAAGAAATCATTTGTTTTTACTGATTTCAGCAGAAATTAGTAAAACCTATTTATTATAAATACCAACTAAACTGTTAACTAATAAGACTTGAATATCATTAAGATTGTCTTTATTTTGCAGTGAAATGTTTTATGTTTTGATCAAAAAGGATAAACAAAAAGATTAATTTTCCACTACTTCAGAACAAGATATTGGTCATTTCAACTGCTTCAAGACATTTTGTTGTTGTTGAGACAGGGTCTCGTTCTGTTGCCCAGGCTGGAGTACGGGGGCACGAACTCGGCTCACTGAAACCTCTGTTTCCCGGGCTCAAGCGATTCTCCTGCTGAGCTCAGCCTCTCGAGTAGCTGGGACTACAGCTATGTGCCACCATGCCTGGCTAATTTTTTTGTATTTTTGTAGAGATGGGGTTTCACCATATTGCACAGGCTGGTCTCAAACTCCTGACCTCAAGTGATCCACTTGCCTCAGCCTCCTAAAGTGCTGGGATTACAGGCATGAGCCACTGCACCCGGCCTGCTTCAAGACATTTTAAAGGACAGGACTACTTCCCTTTCGGCAATGACTAAAAAATACTATACTCAATTTTCATTTATATTATTGTTATACTGAAAAATACTTAATATAACAAAATATTCATTTAATAACCAACTTGAAACTCTAAAATATTTGACTTTGACTTGTGTGAAGAACTCTACAGAAATGAAATTTAAAGTTTAACTTTCAGGAAGAAAATTTTTTTAAAGAACATACTTATTTTAAAATCGTATGTTTTATGAATACCTTAAAACCAAACATTCATCCTTACCTTGTTAATTTTGCCTGAAATGTGTATAAAAAATGACAATTAATAGTTACATAAAACTGATTATATTCAAAACAAACCCCCTTTTAATATGAGTGATTCTTTCAGTATAAGTATACACATCTAGGATTTCTTACCACCTGCTGCTCCATCCCTTCCAGCTGGGAGGTTTTTATTTTCAGAAACAGGTACTTCTGAATCCAAATTCCAGTGAGATAAGTTCTAAAACAATATTTGTTTTAGGATAAACTTAACATTAAGAAAACATAAAAAGCTCAATAATTTCACATGTTCTTGGGGTAAAGTATGACGAAAGGCACAAAGCTTCATGACTCTCACCCCTCATTATAAAGAACTTATCAGCATCTTTGAGGAGAAAGCAATTTTCTCTTAACCAAGCCCTTATCAGTTTGATAATGCCTATTGTTGAGGAATCAGGCTTTTACAATAATTTGTGGTTTCGTTCACATTTTGTTAAATATAATAACACAGGTTTTCAAAATTGATTTTTAAAATGTAATAAAATGTCCTGTTCAGTGTGCCTCTGGAACACAATGGTGCATTCATCAAACTTTCTATATCTGAGTATCAGATCTAAAAGTCTATAAAAAGCCAGGTGTGGTGGCTCATGCCTGTACTCCCAGCACTTTGGGAGGCCGGGGCAGGTCAGGATCACCTGAGGTCTGGAGTTTGAGACCAGCCTGGCCAACATGGTGAAACCCTGTCTCCAATAAAAACACAAAAATCAGCCAGGTGTGGCGGCACGCACCTGTAATCCCAGCTGTTCGGGAGGCTGAGGCAGGAGAATCGCTTGAACCCAGGAGGTGGAGGTTGCAGTGAGCTGCAATCACACCACTGCACTCCAGCCTGGGCCACAGAGTGAGACTCTGTCTCAAAATACATACATAAATAAATAAAATTAAAAAAATAAAAGCCTGTAAAAATCTTTCCATCAACCACAGGAAGTCTCTAACCCTCATATTATATTCAACACTAACCAGCCCACTACTCATTCTGGCTTCCAGATGTGGAGGAACACTTAGGAAATATTCAAAAGAAAGCCAAAAATAAAACGGGAAAGGTGCTAATAACAACTGAGTATTTATGTTCCAGACATTGTGCAGAGTGCTATGGGGGAAAATGTGGGAGGTGTGTAGAAGATTATAACAATTTATTCTGGAAAACAGAAAGTGAAGAGGTGATTCGTTTATAAGAAAGTAACTTTTTAGGAATGAACCCAATTGTTTTCTGTCTCAAAAAAGCATTGTAAATTAAACTCTAAGCAAATGAAATGTGAGGTATTATTAGATACAATCTCTTCACTAAGGAGGAACAGAGAGAAATAAGCTTCAATACAGCATGAGGATTAATTTATCCACAAAGAGATATCTCCTGATAGGAAGGGTAGTTGAACATTGGAAGGGAGACTGCAGATTATCATTCTCTATAGATTTATGAAAAATATAATTAATAAAATTAATTCTCTGCTCTCTGGCATGATATGTACAAGGGCTAATCTCTACATGAGAATCACCTGGGGAGCTTTTTAAAAATAATAGTTGCAAAAAAATGCTGCAAATCCTGATTTTAAAGAATGAGGGTGAGGGCCGGGCGCAGTGGCTCAAGTGGCAGTAATCCCAGCATTTTGGGAGGCCGAGGCGGGCAGATCACCTCAAGTCAGGAGCTCTAGACCAGCCTGGCCAACATGTCGAAACCCCATTTCTACTAAAAATACAAAAATTAGCTGGGCGTGGTGGTGGGTGCCTGTAATCCCAGCTACTTGGGAGGCTGAGGCAGGAGAATCACTTGAATCCGAGACGCAGAAGTTGCAGTGAGCCACGATAGCACCACTGCACTCCACCCTGGGTGACAGAGTGAGACTCCGTCTCAAAAAAAAAGAAAAAAAAAAAAAAGAATGAGGGTGAGGCCCAGTTATTTGTATTTTAAAGATCCTTTTGTAGTTCACAGCACGATGACTGGGTTTTTATGTTCATGTGTGAGATGCACCCCTTCAGACTTTTTTACGATGTCTGGTGGATTTTTAAGCTTTTTTCAGCTATATAATCCTGATACTTTTGTATGAAATGCACGTGAGAGAAATATCCTCAGCTGATGAAACTGTGTTGTTGCAATTCTAAAATAAAATTAATGAAACCAGGCCAGGCATGGTAGCTCACACCTGTAATCCCAGCACTTTGGAAAGCCAAGGCGGGTGGATCACTTGAGGTCAGGAGTTCAAGACCAGCCTGGCCAACATGTCGCTACTAAAAATACAAAAATTAGCCGGGCGTGGTGGCACATGCCTGTAGTCCCAGCTACTCGGGAGGCTGAGGCAGGAGAATCGCTTGAACCCGGGAGGTGGGGGTTATAGTGAGTTGAGATCGTGCCACAGCACTCCAGCCTGGGAGACAGAGGAAGACTAAGTCTCGTCTCCAAAACAAACAAACAAAAAACACCAAAACAACAAAAAATTAACATAACCAAATTGATCAACTGGTAAAGAATGCTCATTAACTAAACATGAAGTCTGACAGTTTGCAAATTTCTTAAGAGTTGGGACTTGATTATGCTTTGTGATATCCCACCTGCCTTACCAATATTTTTCACAAAGGGTGTGTGTGTGAAAACAAAAGAAGTGAGCACTGCCTGGTTGATAACAAGGCAGCACCTTTAACAAAGCCAAATTGCAATTAGAAATGTTTGACATTTGGAGAAGAGCTGGCTAATTTTCCCTTTGTTAAAAGAAATAGAAAATTTCCATTTGCTGTTCCAAATGTGCCAAAAGGAAAACACAGGATAAACTGCCCACGATGCAAACGCAGCAAGGGCATCACTACAAGAAAACTCCATGGGAGTTACGTGTTAGCAACAGGAGCCGCTGCCCAAACACTCAAGTTCAACAGCGCCTGCCATACCTCCTGAGAGATGTTTGACACACGTAGGCTGTTAGCACAGTTCTCATTTCTTCTCCCCATTTTGTTGTAGCTGTTGCTCTGTTTCCTTAAAATCCTACACAGATTGCGGGATAGGCACATTTATGGGTAAGGGTCAACATTTATAAAAAAGAAAGTGTGAGTTTTGATTTCCCATCTAAAGGAGGTAAGAGAATGCTTAGAAAGCAGAAGAGAGGGGCTAGGAGAGCAGGGTGGGGGTGACAGTACGAAACCAACCAGAAGCAAGGGGCAAGCCTGACTCAAAAGGAGCACAGACAACAGCAAACTGGCAGATCTCAGAACAGAAGATTAGGAAATTGAGATCAGAGGTGAGAAAGCAAATATCAGCTAAGAAGATGAAATACACATTGGAACAAACTATGGTGAATTATCTGGAACTTAGAAAACAGGGGCACAAAGTCTCCTTTTATTCATTCAAAACAATTGCTCCATTTGAAAGCAGGGTTGAACCCTTACAACTAGGCCAGGCAAGCACCCCGTGCATATTTCGGAGACAACAAAATGCCCCCAGGACCAAACAATATTTTCCGCACCAATCAATCAAGGTACCTAAAGGGTTTTAACCCACTGCCGTTTAAGGTAAAAGAATTAGAGAACTCTAAGGTAACAAGCAAAACAGTCACTGGATTAAGGTATGGCTATCTGGAAAGAATCACTTTTTTTTTTTTTTTTTTTTTTGAGACAGAGTCTCGCTCTGTTGCCCAGACTGGAGTGCAGTGGCGCGATCTCGGTTCACTGCAACCTCCGCCTCCCGGGTTCAAGCGATTCTCCTGCCTCAGCCTCCCGAGCAGCTGGGATTACAGGCGAGCACCACTACGCCCAGCTAATTTTTATATTTTTAGTAGAGATGGGGTTTCACCATGTTGGCCAGGCTGGTCTTGAACTCCTGACCTCGTGATCCACCTGCCTCAGTCTCCCAAAGTGCTGGGATTACAGGCGTGATCCACTGCACCCGGCCAAGAATCACAAATTAAAGCCACCGCAGTAATCGGTCTATCTGCTAATCGTTTACAATTGATTGTCTCCTACAGAAAAGTGTATGAAGAAATAGGAGATTTAGTTTAGGTAGGTTTTCAGCCAACACCGGTTATTGGTCCACGAGTGTGTGCATGCCAGACACTAGGTCTGAATGCAGGAGGAAGGCGGTTGCTGAGCAGGTGGCGCTGCCTGGGGCCACCGGGTGTGTGTCAAGAAGGAGGGCATCCAGCTCCTGGAAAAGGCCACCGCACCTGAAGGACGGCCCTGGGGACAAAGGACGCCTTGGGGACTGCGAGTTGGGGGACAGGAGCTTTAGGGGCCAGAGTGCTTGAAGGCGCGTGTCTCAAGGGAGCCGCAAGGCCCCCGTGAAGAGGAATCCCCTTTTCCTCCTGAGCTGTGGCCGGACTGGGTGGGGAGCCCAGTTCCAGGGGTAGCAGGAGGGGGCTGCGGGATTCCCCGGGGCCGGGGCTCTCAACCCACCGCGCGAAGGCCCACGTGTCCTCCCCGGCGTGCTCTCCCGGTGCGCCGCCCCGAGGCCCGAGCGCCTCCGCGTGCGTGGCTGACGGCTTGGAGGGCGCCCCCTCTGCCGCGGCCTTCCTGCAGCGGGGGGACAAAGAGGGCGGCGGGCGGCTGGCGGCCTTGAGCGCAGCCCGGTCGGCAGTGCAGGGCCTGCGAAGCCCGCGGGCCGGCGCAGGGGTGGGAGTCGGGCCCGGGGCCCAGAGAGACCTTCCGGGGCCGGGGCTGCGGCTCCGCGGGCTTCCCCACCGGCCGGGTCTCCCGGCAACTACCAGAGAGCGGGGGCGCCCGGGGAGGCCCGGCGTTCCACAAGGTCCACGCGTATTCGCGGGCCGCGGGGTCGCCGCCGGCCGCCCAGGCGCGGAGCCTCTCGGGGGTCACCCGGCCGCCGGGCCCGCGGGACGCACGGGGCCGCCAGGGGAGGACAACAAGCCTCAGGCCCTGTCCCTGCGCCCCGCCCGGCCTCCCCCGCGGGGCTGCGCAGCCCACTCGGCCATCCTGGCCTGAAGGGGCCGCCCCCGGCCTCGCGGGAAAGCCTGAGCCTCCCGGGCCTTCTCGGGCCTTCTCGGACTTTCCCCCAGGCGTCCTGGACCTTCTTCGGCCTTCCTGGGCCTCCTCGGGCTTCCTTGACCCTCCCCAGGCCTTCCCCGAGGCCTCCAGGCCCTTCCCTGGGCCTCTCCAGGCTGAGCTCTCCGCGACATGGCCAGTGGGCCTCTGGGACCCGGGGCCCGGCCCACCCGCCTCCACCCTCCATTCCCACCGCCTGCTCACATCAAGCCAGGAGCACCGCCCGGTACGTAGTCCTCCAGACTAAGCTACAATATATACGCATTGATACATGTGAAGTTATATCTATGCTTGTACAATATATTAACATAGAAGAAGAGGCATCCTTGTTGACACCAAGCTCATCCGGTCAGTTTCAGGTCCGTCGTCGGCCTTTCAATAGGAAAAACAAAAGATGATTTTTTTTCTTTTTTCATGTAGAGGATACATGTAAATCACACAGCCCAATTTTGTACCCCGAAATGCATATCTCCTATTACAGCTTCATGAAATAAGTGGAGGGGTGGGGGAAGAATCTCTCTCTATCTAGTTAGATATATCTGCATAGCTATCATCACCCCCACCTTTTGATATAGAGAAAAATTTAAAACAAAATTAATTATATATTTAGGTACAGCAAATGAATACTAAACATTTGGGGGGATGAGATCACGGCCATGTCCCTCTGAGAATCTCCCCATAAAAATGCACTTATATACCACATGTTGAAAACAATGTCAGGGGTTTCTCAGGTTCTTTGATCCCTGACTCCTGACTCTTTCCTCTGCATTTCCATTTTCTCCTCAGAAAGACCTTCCCTTTAAAGAAGCTCTTCCCACCTTCCACCTACCTTACTCTATTTCATGACACCCCGTTGTTATTTACTTCTTTGTACTCCTCATAATCTTGCTGTTTACTTGTTTGTTTTTGTATTGTCTGTCTCTCCCCAGTAGAATATCAAACTCCATGTGGGCCGGGGCCTTGTCTGTCTAGTTCATTTCTGTATCCCCAACCCTTTAAAACTGTGCTGGGCACATAGTAGAAGCACAGTGGTAGAAGCACAATCGATGTAAGTGAACGAACAAGATTTGTGCAGGCCTCATTCCTTGCAGCCTCCTTGGAGGTTTCCCTTCTAGGGCCCTCTCTTCCTTCGGCTGTTTTCCATACTGCTGCTCTAAAATACAGACCTGCTCAACTGCCTCCTAATGCCGGAAGGAGGAAACCCTAATTCTGCAGCCATCCCTTAGGTATCTGCTCATCACCTTCCCAGCGCCCACTACATGTCAAGCACATCGGACATTTTACAATTTTCCTAAACACTCTCCTCCAGGGCATACATCATTGTTACTCTTCCTGTAATAGTACCTCCTTTTTATCTCCTTTTCTTTTTTAACCTGCCTAAATTCTAGTCATTACACTTCTAACTCACAAGTCATTTTTCCTGATTGTTCAGGAAGTGTAATTACTAGAAAAAATACAAAAAAAAAAAAAGGAGAGAAAACAAAAGTTGCTGTCTCCTCCAAGATCCTTGCTTCGTTATAATGATTTAATTACAGCCCCTTACTCAGTTACATTGTAATTATTCATTTACAACGTCTCAATCACTTTCTTTTCAACACCTTGAAGGTGATATCTGCCCATATTCTATCTAACAGAGTGCCTGGCATGTACTGTAGTAGGTAAGGCACTCAATAAATGTTTCAATTGATTTAATTATTGCAAAAATAGTATTTTCTGAAATGTATGGTGTGGTGACTATATGCCAGGCATAGTGCTGAACATTTTATATGGATTAACCAATGTATATGCCTGATAATCCAATGAAGCAGGTACCACCAGTTATTCCTATTTTATTTCTTATTTTTAATTTTTATTTATTTATTTTTTTGAGACAGAGTCTTGCTCTGTCACCCAGGCTAGAGTGCAATCGTGTGATCTCGGCTCACTGCAACCTCTGCCTCCCAGGTTCAAGCAATTCTCCTGCCTCAGCCTCCCTAGTTCCCTAGTAGCTGGGATTACAGGCACCAGCCACCACGCCCGGCTAATTTTTTGTATTTTTAGTAGAGACGGGTTTTGCCATGTTGGCCAGGCTGGTCTCGAACTCCTGACTTCAGGTGATCTGCTGGCCTCAGCCTCCCAAAGTGCTGGAATTACAGGCATGAGTCTCTGAGCTCAGCCTAGTTATTCCTATTTTATAATTGAGTAACCTGAGCCTTAGATGTATTATATAACCTTTTCCACCTTACAATTACGAGAAAAATTGCGAATGGGAGTAAATATTGGGGTACATGTATTTCCAGCTAATGCTTTCTACAAATGTATATCTAGCTGGGAAATGTTCCCCGCTCTTGAGACAAATTATGTGTGCTTGTGTGTGCACATGCACACGTGTGTGTAAATTCCAAATATCTGGCTTACACATTTCCCCTCTTCCTTGCTTTGTGTTTCTGTTCATGCCTTTTTCTGTTATTTCAGAACTCAAACTGATTCCTGATCCCTTAGAGTCCTTGTGAGATTTGTCATCCATAAATACATCCTCTAAGATTCTTTTTTTTTCTTAACAGAACTTATTCTTAAAAATGTTCCTTTCATATTATCACCCCCACTCAACTGGTCTTCCTTTCTCTGGAGACTTTTGAATGCTTTGACATCAGCATCAAAATCATGGCTGGCCATTCCCTCATTGCTAAATGTGCACGGCTGTGGAGATGTGAAATATGAAAGCGACAACTTGGAAATTGTGCCCTCTCCAAACCCTTGGGTCTGGTCTGGCTCTGGCCCAGCGTAGGAGGTTGGACAGTGGGTCATTTTCTACAGCAGCTCAGACCCAGCTCAACATCAATCCCAAGGCCAAAGAAAATGCACCTTCCTTCTGTTGGGGCTCGGAAAACAGTACCCCAAAATGAAGGCTTCGGAAATAGCCTCAGAAACACGTTTTTCTCTGACCTTCTTCTGCCCTCCTGTCTCTCAGTCCCAGTCTCCCTCCGAGGCTAGCCTGAGAAACTAGAATCCCTCTTCTCCAATGCAGGTTACAGAAATCAGAATGCTTTTTTCCCAAAGCCAGCCATAAAACCTAAAAATATTACTCCAATTTTCCCTTTGCCTTTCTGTGTAAAAACTGGCCATAAAGAAATTATCTGACCCCCATTCCAGAGAGTGGCCCATACCCAGAAGGAAGGAATGCTGCTCAGAGAGGCCAAGAAGAATCTAGAGAGACAGGCCTTGCTGGGTTCCCCCACTCAGGCTGTTAGCGTTAGATCAGACCTTTTTTGTCCTATCGTATTTCTACACAGCTGTCCATACTTTGTTGAACCTAAGCATAAAAATGGAAACTCTCCCCTGTATTTCTGAGTTTTCATTCTGTACACTCCCATGTATAAACACATGCTAAATAAACGTGTATGCCTTTTCCCCAATTACTCTGCCTTTTGTACTTGAGTACTTCTCCTGTCTCAGCCTCCCAAGTTGCTGGGACTACAGGTGCAGGCCACCACGCCTGGCTAATTTTGATTTTTCAGCAAATCTTCAGAGGGCCAAACCCTTGGCCCCTACACCTCCAGCCATCTCATGGCCATGCCCAGGATTCAGATTTTAGTGGTAGCCTCAGCTTGCCTTACTTTAAATCTGCACCTCTTTAGCTGATCCTGAGTGAAACCATTGTTTCATAAACACAGTAGGATGAGGCAGATGCTCTCTATTTCAGGCATTTAGCAAGCTCTTACGTTAATTACAAGGGAGGCAGGCTAAGGAAACAAAGGCAAGCCTTGGGCCAGTCACTTAGTAGTCCAGTAAGCACAGCTTGCTGCCCACCTCAGTTTCTCCTCCTATAACAAAGGCGATGACACTGACTACCACGTAACTACTTTGGAAAGCACCTTGAGATAACATTCCTTTTCATTGTCCTGAATTATGCAAAGATATGTCAGTAGCAACATTACTTAGTTTCTAATTATTCTGGAGGGAAAAGCCTTCTATTTCAGTCTACCTCCTTCAGTATCTTTCACCTTTTGATATTACCCATGCATTTGTCCTCATCTTCCTTTGTTTTTCCCTTTAGAATTGCCAAGGTCATGGCTGGTCACGTACAGCAGAATCTTTTTGTTTCTTTCTTTTCTTTTCTTTTCTTTTTTTTTTTTGAGACAGAGTCCCACTCTGTTGCCCAGGGTGGAGTGCAATGGCACATTCTCAGCTCACTGCAACCTCTGTCTCCCAGGTTCAAGTACTTCTCCTGTCTCAGTCTCCCAAGTTGCTGGGACTACAGGCGCATGCCACCACGCCTGGCTAATTTTTTTGTATTTATAGTAGAGACGAGGTTTCACCATATTGGTCAGGCTGGTCTCAAACTCCTGACCTCAGGTGGTCCACCCGTGTCGGCCTCTCAGAGTGCTAGGATTACAGCTGTGAGCCACTGTGCCCCAGCCTACAGCAGAATCTTGTTCAATATAATTATGTAACATTTTCTGAAAGTTAGGACACTATTTTCTAAATAATAATATGCATTTTTGTTCTCAAATAAGATGCTAAGTCAGTGGGAAACATTTCATTTCAATTATGGGCAATCTGTATTTAGCATATGGTTTAGCGATCTGGTCTTATTTTTGTTTTTCCTTTTTGAGAACTGCTTTGTCTTTCAGTAGTGGCTAATTTATCCTGATTTAGAACTCTATTCTATGAGCATTCATCTTAAATATACTTTCTTGTGTTTGTATAATTCCTTTTTAAGAAATATATATGCAAATATTTCTAATTTGAAGTTTTAAAAATTAACCTTTAACACTCTGCTCCCATAGCAATGTCCTATTTGGGAGGCCATTGTTTTGTTGCAAATAGATAAGAAATATTGTTTAAAAACTATTCCTGGAACGTGTGATAGTGATGTATATTAACATATTTCCAAAAGGAAGCAAAATAAACACATCAATCACTGAATTTCACATCTGCGTATGTTGCAGCTAGTGCTTTTGAATACATTCTCAATCATATATTTTCTCCTTTATTTTGATTTAAGACTTGATTTCTGCAATTTGAATTGCTTCATAAGCCTTTCTGTTTTTCAGATGCCTATACTCTGTAACTCTATTTTCCTAGCCTTATATCACAAATTCACTTTAAATTTTGGTTAAAGTCTCAGTGTCAGAACTTACTTTCTGGTGCCAGGAAAGGTGTAACTTGAAGTCCCTTTCTGGTCGTCAGACCCCTCCCACCTCATTTGTTGTGAACAGAACACTTTCTTTAGAATGCTTTCCTTAAAAAACTTGGAGCTAATCTTCTCTCTGTGAACATTACTGAACACCTTGCCTTCTGGAAGCCAGCTGATCTTGTCACACCCACCATGGCGAGGGGGAAGAAGAAGGTATTCAGGAGACACAGCAACCCTCTTAGGAACAGAAAAAGGAATTGCATTTACCTAAAAGTCATGAATAAAAGATCAGCCTAACTAGAAAAACAACCCAGAGTCATGCAGCTGCTGCGCTGCGGGATCAATTTTAGTTAATAATACACTGCTGGCACCTACGTGGGCTGCTGCCCGGCATAGCAGCTCTCATCACAACAAGAAAAAACTTGCGAGAAAATAATATGTTAGAAGCCCAGTTTTGAAAAGGTAAATATATTATACACTGAATAATAGAATTGGAAATCAGAGGAATACAAAACAAAATACACAATGAAAGCATTTGTTCCATCCAAGAATATTAGCACCATGGGCTGAGACCTGGTTGGCTCAGATCAAGATCACACAGCTGGTTAGCAGCAGAATATTTGCCAGGCGTCATTCATGACGGGTCTTTCCCATCCTAAACAGTGTTCTTTAATTACACTATAATTAGAGAAAATGAATGAGATTGATTCCTAGAAGTGTTATTCATTGTAAAAAAAAATATATATATATATATAAAATATGTAAAAATATATATCCATCTGATAGTTTATTTAAAAACAAAATTTAATAATTGTGACCTACTTCAGATTTCAACCAAAGTCAGCATGCATCAGATAACTATAAACATTCATCAGTTGCTATTGAGAGCAATGACTAAGAACATATGAGTCAATTTACATGAAGTATAAAGAATTACATTTTAGTAGATCACTTCCTTGGCATGTTGAATGGCTTAAAACATGGTTTGTTCTTTACTATTTATATAAATGAAGGTTTAGAGGAATGCACTCAACTTTGCCTGGAAGAAAGAAGCTGGGGATATGTCTTCCGGCTGCCAGAATATTCTACCCCCTTCTCCCCACCAAAAACACCTGTAAAATTATGAGAATCACATTGAATTCAAGTGGTTCTTGTTAGTTATATAACATATTTTAAATATGTACTTGCATTTAAAGTATTTTTTTTTAAGTTTTACTTTTTGAGTTTGCAAGTTGAAAGTTAAGAAAAGGAATAGGCCAGACATAGTGGCTTGCGCTTGTAATCACAGCAGTCTGGGAGGCCGAGGCAAGAGGATTGCTTGAGGTCAGGAGTTTGAGACCAGCCAGGGTAACATAGCGAGACCCTGTCTCTACAAAAGAAAAATAACAAAAATTAGCTGGGCGTAGTGATGCACACCTATAGACTCAGCTACTTGTGATGCTGAGGTGGGAGGATTGCTTGAGCCCAGGAGGTCGAGGCTACAGTGAGCTGCACTGCAGCCTGGGCCACAGAGCAAAATTCTGTCTCAAAAAGAAAGAAAAAAGGAAGGAAGGGAAGGAAGGGAAAAAAGGAAAAAAGAGAAAAGAAAGAAAGCTAGGCGAGGTGGCTCACACCTGTAAACCCAGCACTTTGGGAGGCCGAGGTGGGTGGCTCACCTGAGGTCAGGAGTTCAAGACCAGCCTGACCAACATGGAGAAACTTTGTCTCTACTAAAAATACAAAATTAGCTGGGCATGGTGGCGCATGCCTGTACTCCCAGCTACTCAGGAGGCCAAGGCAGGAGAATCGCTTGAACTAGGGAGGCAGAGGTTGCAGTGAGCCGAGATCACGCCATTACACTCCTGCCTGGGCAACAAGAGCAAAACTCTGTCTCAAAAAAAAAAAAAAAAAAAAAAAAATCCATCTATCTATATATATGCATATATGAATGGAATTTTATATCTGCCACTCTGGCCACTAATGTATCATATGGTATAATCATGATGCTTTAATAGTCTTAGCCAAAGGTTTTTAAGGTTGGTGAAAAGCTAGCCCACGCTCCCAGATTTGCCATAGCATACTAGGCTCACACGCCTTCTCTGCTTCTCACCAGCCTGCAGTGTGGCTCTCTAGGTGGTTCATGAAGAGTAGAGCAATTATGGGGAACCTGGCTCCTGGTAGAGCATGCTGAAATCTAAAAGTAGCTGTAACAAACTCTATTATTTGCATTTTTGTTCCAAATCTGATACTAGTTCTTGGCAGCTTCTGTCTTGCTCTGGACTGTGCTATCAAGTGTGGTGATTTAAGATTATTTAATACTTCTATTGTTTTCTGCTTTTTGGTCTGCAATGAAGAATGGCTTCTTACCGGGAAGGCTCCGGTTGAGCATTTGTTTACTTTGTTTTCTTGGTATTAGTTTGGATAAGAACATAAGGAGTAACTAGTTTGGCTTCTTACCTGTGTTAATCTGGGCATTTCCTCAGTTTTGGACGATGAAGCTCTTTCCTCAGTTCTGCTGAGGACTGCACTGATGTAACCACTCTCTCTTGGGGCCTCGTAGGTCTGTGGAGCCTTAATTAGGTACATACTGGGAGCAAGGCTTCTACAAAGTACCAGATGGGAAAATACCACTGGATACGCGCGCCCCCGCTTTCCCCTCTTCCTTTTAGCAAAGCTCTCAGTTTTCCCCAGAAATGGTCCATGTCCAGACGCAAGACTGGAGTTTCTGCCACAAATCCCCAAATGACTTGGCAGGATATTTTCAATGGGCTGGTTTTCTCTGCTTTGAAAATGCAGGATGAACACGCAGGGTTCCGGACCAATACCTGGGCCATTGTGACTCTCAGAATGCCAGGCAATAAGAGATCAGAAAGCTGGTTCCACTTCATCTTGGAGATGGAGGAAAGCTTGCCAGAACAACTGCACACCCCATCCACTCCTCATGTTCTCAGTTTGTTCTTCTCTGTGATACAACCAGCATCACGAGAACAGCCAGCAGCAGCTCCAGCGTGATAAAATTTTCACTCCTTGACAAGTGTAAGAAGCCGGAAAACTGTGCCCAGCCAGAAGTTTTGTGTCGCCCCTTTGAGATGCTGTCTAACCTCCACGAGCTGCTTCCGAATCACCTGATGGAGACGCTTTATTCCCGCAAGAGTGAAGAGGACAAGAAAAAATGTATGTGGGCCGAGGGTGGGCATGAGTTCTTTTCAGCAAGCATATGCTTTATCTTGATACAAACTGCCTCTACTTTAAGACGCAAGGAAGAACTTTTACTCTTTATTTTACTTAGTGTATTTTTATTATTTTTTGAGACGAGGCTCTCGCTTTATCCCCCAGGCTGGAGTGCAGGAGTGCAATAATCGTGGCTCACCACAGCTTCAAACTCCTGGGCTCATGCGATCCTCCCACCTCGACCTCCCCAGTAGCTGGGACTACAGGTGCATTGCCACCACAATGTCTAATTTTTTAATTTTTTGTAGAGCTGCACCCCCCCCGCTCCCCACATCCCCATGTTGCCTGGGCTGGTCTCGAACTCCCAAGCTCAAGCCTTTGCCCGCCTTTGTCTCCAAAGTGCTGGAATTCGAGGTGGGATCCCCTGCACCCGGCCAGAACTTGCTCTGTACGTTGTAGGTGTGATCGGTCCTCTAGACACATGTCCCCATCCATGGGCTTATTCTGGAATTTACTCATGTGCTGATTATCCATTGCTTCTTCATGTTCTTTTGCATAAATAGTCTTTTGTGAGCCAAGTTAGGCGTGACCCTCTTCTTTTTTTTTTTTTTTTGAGATGAAGTCTGGCTCTGTCGCCCAGGCCGGAGTGCAGTGGTGCGATCTCAGCTCACTGCAAGCCCCGCCTCCCGGTTTCATGCCATTCTCCTGCCTCAGCCTCCCCAGTAGCTGGGACTACAGGCGCCCGCCACCACACCCGGCTAATTTGTTTGTATTTTTAGTAGAGATGGGGTTTCACTGTGTTAGCCAGGATGGTCTCGATCTCCTGACCTCATGATATGCCCGCCTCGGCCTCCCAAAGTGCGGGATTACAGGCGTGAGCCACCACACACGGCCAGGCCTGACTCTCTTCTTTAGGCAAAGCTTACCTGTGGGAATATGGAAAGGGTACTGAGAGGGAAATGCCGCTAAATTTACAATTTAAGCTTTATATTTGATTTTAAGATTAGTGAGAGAACTTCCAAGTGGAAAGTCAGGTTTTGAACTTTGTTCCTTTGCTCTGTTTCCTATGATTCCTTCCTCCTATGGCCATGATTGCACCAGGAAGAAGCTGGATATTTTCTTTCCTCCTGGCGATTATAAGCAACCTGTACTGTTTGCAGTATGGAGTGGCCTGACACTCCTGAAATTCTGTCAGGGTCAATGATAATAGGGCCGATTTGCAGCATTGGGTGGAGTCTGCCTCCTGAATTGTTCCTGCTTAAGTGGAGGAGAAAGATAGAGGCAGCCACCTGTGCTCATGAACTTAGAAAACAAAATAGCAGCCGCCACAGAGATTAAGATGCAATTCCGAAGCCAGGCGCGGTGGGCTCACGCCTGTAATCCCAGCACTTTGGGAGGCCAAGACGGGTGGATCACCTGAAGTCAGGAGTTCAAGACCAGCCTGACCAACATGGTGAAACCCCATGTTTACAAAAAGTAGCTGGGCATGATGGCGGGTGCCTGTAATTTCAGCTATTCAGGAGGTTGAGGCGGGAGAATCCTTTGAACCCAGGAGGTGGAGGTTGCACTGAGCCGAGATCGCACCACTGTACTCCAGCCTGGCAACAGAGTGAGACTCTGTCTCCAAAAAAAAAAAAAAAAAAAAGGGCAGACTGTCTCCTGGGGGTGTTTGTGTGGGTTCTTTGGCTATTTCCCAGGCTGACAGTTTTCACAGCCTCCTGCTGAGATTTCTTCTCTTCAGGTGCCTTAGTCTGTTTGGGCTGCTATAACAAAATACCATAGACTGAGGCCGGGCACAGTGGCTCGCGCCTGTAATCCCAGCACTTTGGGAGGCTGAAGCGGGTGGATCTGAGGTCAGGAGTTCGAGACCAGCCTGGCCAACATGGTGACACCCCATCTCTACTAAAAATACAAAAATCAGCCGGGCGTGGTGATGGGTGCCTGTAATCCCAGCTACTTGGGAGGCTGAGGCAGGAGAATCGCTTGAACCTCGGAAGTGGAGGTTGCAGTGAGCCAAGATTGTGCCATTACACTCCAGCCTGGGCGACAAGAGTGAGACTCCATCTCAAAAAAACAAAAACAACAAATACTATAGACTGGGTAGCTTATAAACAGAAAAATTTATTTCTCATAGTTCTGGAGGCTGGGAAGTTTAAAATCAAGGTAGATACCATGTCTGGAGAAAACTTTCTGGTTCATAGATGGCACCTTCTTGCTGTGTCCTCACATAGTGGAAGTGAGAGGTGACAGCATGCTGGTAGCCCTTGCAGCCCTCTCTCGCTCTGGGCGCTTCCTCGGCCTTGGCGCCCACTCTGGCCACGCTTGACGAGCCCTTCAGCCTGCCGCTGCACTGTGGGAGCCCCTTTCTGGGCTGGCCAAGGCTGGAGCTGCTTCCCTCAGCTTGCGGGAAGGTGTGGAGGGAGAGGCGCGGGTGGGAACCCGGGCTGCCCGCGGCGCTTGTGGGCCAGCGCCAGTTCCGGGTGGGCGTGGGCTCGGCAGGCCCTGCACTGGGAGCTGCAGGCCGGCCCCGCCGCCCCGGGCAGTGAGGAGCTTAGCACCTGGGCCAGCAGCTGCTGTGCTCGATTTCTCCCGGGGCCTTAGCTGCCTCCCTGCAGGGCAGGGCTCGGGACCTGCAGCCCGCCGTGCCTGAGCCTCCCCGTGGGCTCCTGTGCAGCCGGAGACTCTCCAACCATTGCTGCCCCCTGCTCCACGGCACCCAGTCCCATCGATCACCCAAGGGCTGAGGAGTGTGGGCACATGGCTTGGGACTGGCAGGCAGCGCCACCTGCGGCCCCGGTATGGGATCCACTGGGTGAAGCCAGCTGGGCTTCTGAGTCTGGTGGGGACTTGGAGAATATGTCTAGCTAAGTGATTGTAAATACACCAATCAGCACTCTGTATCTAGCTCAAGGTTTGTAAACACACCAATCAGCACCCTGTGTCTAGCTCAGGGTTTGTGAATGCACCAATCGGCACTCTGTGTCTAGTTAATCTGGTGGGGACTTGGAGAACCTTTATGTCTAGCTAAGGGATTGTGAATGCATCAATTGGCACTCTGTATCTAGCTCAAGGTTTGTAAATGCACCAATCAGCACTCTGTGTCTAGCTCAGGGTTTGTAAATACACCAGTTGACACTCTGTATCTAGTTAATCTAGTGGGGAGGTAGAGAACTTTTGTGTCTCGCTCAGGGATTGTAAATGCACCAATCAGCACCTTGTCAAAACGGACCAATCAGTTCTCTGTACAACAGACCAATTGGCTCTCTGTAAAATGGACCAATTAGCAGGATGTGGGTGGGGCCAGATAAGAGAATAAAAGCAGGCGGCCCGAGCCAGCTATGGCAACTTGCTGGGGTCCTTTTGCACGCTATGGAAGCTTTGTTCTTTCACTCTTTGCAGTAAATCTTGCTGCTGCTTGCTCTTTGGGTTTGCAGTCCCTTTATGAGCTGTAACACTGGCCGCGAGGGTCTGCTGCTGCATTCTTGAAGCCACTGAGGCCAGAAACCCACCAGAGGAACAAACAACTCTGGATATGCCACCTTAAGAGCTTAGAACACTCACCGTGAAGATCTACAGTTTCACTCCTGAGTCCGCGAGACCGTGAACCCCCCAGAAGGAAGAAAGTACGAACACATCCGAACATCAGAAGGCACAAACTCTGGACGCGCTGCCTTTAAGAACTGTAACACTGACTGTGAGAGTCTGCAGCTTCATTCTTGAAGTCAGTGAGACCAAGAACCCACCAATTTTGAACACAGGAAGGGGGGGTGGGGGGCATCTCTCTCACGCCTAGTTTATAAGGCACTGCTCCCGTGACCTGATCACTTCTTAAAGACACACCCCCACCACGTAATGCCATCACCTTGGGGGCTAGGATTTAACATGAATTTTGAGAGACATAAACATTCAGACCATAGCACCACCCTACCCAGCTTTTGTAAGGTTCACTTCCATCCAGTTTCAATAGAAATTGCATAATCTTTTGACGGAAATGCTCCTGAGATCCTCCTATATTCAAGCAGACTCCAAATGACTACAGCTGACCCTTGAACAACTTACTTGAACTGTGCAGGTCCACTTGTAGTGTGGCAGAAAATTAAAGAAAAATAAAACCAATTAAAGAAATAAGCTTTCCTGGATTAGGCTGACTTGTCCCAGAGGCAGCGACAGGCACAGCCCAGACACAGAAAAAGTCTTAATAATACTATCTACTGTGCTCTGGAAACTCTTCCAGCACTCCCTCAACATAGCGAGAAGAAAAACCAATTTTCCTTTTATTCAGTTTATAGATTTCTGTTCTCTGTAACTGGTAACTTAAAAGTATTCTGTTTTATCTAAGCAGTAGAGTGAAGGTCATGAGCCTCTGAACAGGCCTGAGTTATGGCCACCTGGGCGCCGTAATGAAGGTTATAGGATAAGCCCGTACCTGGGCAAAGTCTAGATAACAGACATCTGGGTTGCTTAGCGATGGTCATGTGTAATCCTGAGTTATGAACCTGTTACAACTTAATTAACTGTCTTTATCCTGCCTCTGTATCCCTGCTTTCACGCCAGTATACGCTTGCTTCAAGCTAGCCTACCCCCTTTTATGAAGTATGTATAAAAGGCAAGTACTGTCTTTGTTCTGCGCCCAGTCTTTGGACGTTAACTCTGTTGGGTCTAAGTGCACTCAATAATAAAGATATCCTGTATACACCCCAAGGTCTCTCTCTGGTCCTCTTGATCCGGCAACAATAGGTGGATTTTTTTCAGTAAATATATTGGAAATTTTTTTGAAGATGTGCCACAATTTGAAAAAATTTGTAGACCAATCATATAGTCCAGAAATAACAAAAAATTAAGAAAAAGGGTAGTGGGCGTGGTGGCTCATGCCTGTAATTCCAGCACTTTGGGAGGCTGAGGCGGGCGGATGATTTGAGGTAAGGCATTCGAGACCAGTCTGACCAACATGGTGAAACCCTGTCTTTACTGAAAATACAAAATTAGGCGGTGTGGTGGTACATGCCTGTAATCCCAGCTACTTGGGAGACTGAGGCAGGAGAATTGCTTGAACCTGGGAGTTGGAGGTTGCAGCGAGCTGAGATTGTGCCACTGCACTCCAGCCTGGGCGACAAAGTGGGACTCAAGAAAAATTAAAAGAGATGTTGTGAATGCATAGAATATATGTAGATACTAGTCTACTTTATCATTTAGTACCATAAAATGTACACAAACCTATTAGGAAAAGTTAAAATTTATAAAAACTTACACACAGAAACACTTACAGACTGTACTTGGTGCCATTCACAGTCAAGGGAAATGTAAATGAGAATAAAGATGCAGTATTAGGCCGAGAGTGGTGGCTCACACCTGTAATCCCAGCACTTTGGGAGTACGAGGAGGTAGATCACCTGAGGTCAGGAGTTCAAGACCAGCCTGGCCAACATGTTGAAACCCCGTCTGTACTAAAAATACAAAAAGTAGCCAGACGTGGTGGCCGGCATCTGTAATCCCAGCTACTCAGTAGGCTGAGGCAGGAGAATCTTTTGAACACGGGAGTCAGAGACTGCAGTGAACTGAGATCATGCCATTGCACTCCAGCTTGGGCAACAAAAGCAAAACTCCACCTCAAAAAAAAAAAAAAAATTATGCAGTATTAAATCATAACTGTAGAAAATTAACTGTAGTAATACTGTAGTGCTGTAGTAATTTCATAGCCACCTCCCGTTGCTCTTGCTGTGAGCTCAAGTGGTGTGAATATCCACTTAAAATGCCATGTGATGCTAATCATCTCTGTGGGAGCAGCTCATGTCTCTAGTAAATTGCATTTCACAGTAAAGTGATTTCACAGTTCTCATGTATTTTTTGTGTTTAGTGCAATACCATAAAACTTGAATAACACTATGGGACCCACAAAAAGTGCCATTAGTGATGCTAGAAGTACTCCCAAGAAGCAGAGAAAAGTCATGATGTTACAAGAAAAAGTTGAGTTGCTTGATATGTACTGTACATTGAATAGTTGCCTGCCACTTCAGACAGACGATTTTTCTTGTAAACAGATGGTGTAAACTTATAGTGTTGATAAATACAGTGCTGTCAATGTATTTCTCTTTCTTATGATTTTCTTTTTATTTTTTTGAGACAGAGTCTCACTCTGTCTTCCAGGCTGGAGTGCAGTGGTGCTATCTCCGCTCACTGCAACCTGCACCTCCCAGTTGCAAGTGATTCTCCATCTCAGCCTCCCGAGTAGTTGGGATTACAGGCACCCGCTACCACACCCGGCTAATTTTTGTAGTTTTAGCAGAGATGGGGTTTCACCATGTTGGTCAGTTATTCTTGAACTCCTGACCTCAAGCAATCCACCTGCCTTGGCCTCCCAAAGTGCTGGGATTACAGGCATGAGCCATCGTGCCCGGCCATGATTTTCTTAATAACATTTTTTTGCTTACTTTACTCTAAGGATGTGATATATAATACACATAACATATACAATATGTGTTAACCATTTATGTTAGCAGTAAGGCTTCTGGCCAACAGTAGGCTATTAGTAAAAGTTTTGAGTGAATCAAAAGTCAAAAAAGTAGCTGGGTGTAGTGGCATGGTACAGGTGCTAGACTACCATGCTCAACTACTTGGAAGACTGTGGCAGGAGGATTGCTTGAGCCCAGGAGTTCGAGACCAGCCTGGGCAACATAGCAAGACTTTTTTTTTTTTTTTTTTTTTTTTGCGACAGAGTTTTGCACTTGTTGCCCAGGCTGGAGTGCAATGGCGTGATCTCCGCTCACTGCAACCTCCACTCCCGCGTTCAAGCGATTCTCCTGTCTCAGCCTCCCAAATAGCTGGGATTATAGGCATGCACCAACACGCTCAGCTTTTTGTATTTTTAGTAGAGACAGGGTTTCACAATGTTGGCCAGAATGGTCTCGATCTCTTGACCTTGTGATCCACCTGCCTTGGCCTCCCAAAGTGCTGGGATTACAGGCATGAGCCACCGAGCCTGGCCAAGACTCTTTAACAAAAGAAACTTATGTGTTTATTTTCAACTGAGCAGGGGTCAGTGCCCCTAACCTCCATGTTATTCAAGGGTCAGTTGTATTTTCCAAGGGATTTACATATTTATTTACTTATTTATTTATTTATTTATTTTTGAGACAGAGTCTCAATCTGTCGCCCAGGCTGGAGTGCAGTGGTGCGATCTCGGCTCACTGCAACCTCCACCTCCCGGGTTCAAGTGATTCTCCTGCGTCAGCCTCCCGAGTAGCTGGGATTACAGGCACGCGCCACCACACCTGGCTAATTTTTGTATTGTAGTAGAGACAGGGTTTTGCCATTTTGGCCAGGCTGCTCTCAAACTCCTGACCTCAAGTGGTCCACCCACCTCGGCTTCCCAAAGTGCTGGGATTACAGGCATGAACCGCCAAGTCCGGCTGGGGTTTACATTTAGCTCAAAGAAAATCTGTGCCCTTGCTCCCCATACCTTCACCCCGTTGATAAAAGCACAGTTGGCTTCCAACACTGCCCTCTTTTCTCTGTGGCCACAGGCAGCTGTGATCCCAGCCACTCACCATTGTGTTTCAAGGTGTTACAGGCTCAACAAAATATATGGCTATATATTGGTGATTTTGCCTCAACAACATATATTGTCCCTCAACAAGATATATTGAAGTCCTAACTCCCAGCACCCCAGAATGTGACTAGATTTGGAAATAGGATCTTTACAGGGTGCAGATGTAATTAATTAAACTTAGGTGAACGTAATATGTGTAGAGAGAGTTCTTCATCCAGTATGACTGGTGACCTTATAAGAAGAAAGAGACACGCAGGAGCCGATGGCCTTGTGACAGTAGAGACAGAGATGGGAGTGATGCATCCATAGGCAAGGAATACCAAGGATTGCAGGCAAACACCAGAAACTAGGAAGAGACAAAGAAAGATTCTCCCCTCAAGGTTTCAGCGTGGCCTTGCTGACATCTTGATATCTGACTTCCAGCCTCCTGAATCGTGAGACAATAAATTTGTTGTTTCAAGTGACCCACTTTGTGGCACTGTTAGGACAGCCCTAGGAGACTGAGCACCAGTGTCAGGAGACATAGTCCCATTCCTCAGGTACTTCTCTAAAGTCCCCTTAAAGCCAAGGGTGGGAAGGGGAATGACATAGTACACAGCACTGCCCCAACTCTGTGCCTAAAGAAATCCTCAAGTGCCTTAAGGAATCCTGAATGAATCCTCCGTTTTTTCACATATTGATAGGGATGCTGTGCACGCATAGGTGTCCGGCACCTACTCGAGTTTTCTCAGACTTGCGGCCTTGGACAAAACAAGACAACAGAAAAATGTATATTTTCACATCCTGTTACATGTATATGTCCTTCAACTTAGCAATTCCACTTCTAGTTATTATCCTACAGAAACAACTTGTACCTGAGCCCAAAGATGGATAAATATGGCCGTGCACTGAAGCATTGTTTATAATAGTCAAAAATTTAAACAACCTATGACATTCAGTAGCAGAAGAATTAAACGAAGGCATATATCCACATAGTGGAATACTATTAAAAAGAAAGTTGACATTAACATGTCTACAATACAGATTATAGAGTTTTAATAAGCTGCAAAGGAAGATACACAATATGGATCCATGTATGCCAAAAGAAAACTATACATTTGTACATATATATGTGTATATAAATGCATAGAAAAGAGTTTTGAAGGAGACTTAGGAAATTCAGGACGGTGGCTACATCTGGAGAAAGGATAGAGCTTGAAGAGGGAAAATGAAGCAAAACTTTCCCTTTTTGCTATGTAGACTTCGCTGAGTTGTTTCATTTTAATTATTCCAATGGAAACCTTTTACTTTTGTAATTAAAATGCAACATTAACACTGAAAATGCAGTAATTATGTGAAGTTGGAGAAATGAGTTTTGATTTTCTAGAGACATTCTCATTCTATGTTGATTTAGATTTTGTCTCCGTAGCCTCCCAGTGTAGACGGTGATAGACGTCGGTACACATTTAGCAGCCGGTAATTCCTGCCATGTACAACTGCCAAGCAGCAGTGGGGTGCCTTTGTTTCAGAGGTATTTGGGTGCAGTGATTCTTTGCTATGGTTGGAAGCCAGTTTAAGGAGGTTCATGCAGCTGAGGTGAACAGCATTAAGGGGTAAGAAATGACTCCTCAGAGTTCTGAGTTTGTGCCTTCAGGGAACTGGCCTCAGGCTGAGTCCAGTCACTGGGAGCACATTGGCCTTTGAGGTCTTAAATTCATCACTAAAAATGTGCTCCGTTGCCAAGATGCCATTTCCAAACATATAGTGATTTCCTTGCATATGCATCCTGAAGACATGACCCTATTGCTCTGACTTTCATCCGTCAGACCAAGGATTTAAAAATAGATACTGCTGTCTTGCTGCTGCTGGGTCTAAAGCCTTCCTTCTAGAAGAAATTTCTTTTGACCTTAAAAATAGGTTTTGTTCTTTTCCTGTCAATCCCCTCTTCACCTGCAAGATGCTTTGCCTGTATTACACTATATTGGTTACCCAGAAATGATTACATGAAGAAAGAAAGAAAAAGAACTAAACATATTTTTTTTAAAAAAACCCAGGTTTTTATTTTATATTTTAAATATAAAGTTAACTTTGGGAGGCTGAGGCAGGAGGATCACTTGAGGCTATGAATGAGATCAGCCTAGGCAACAAAGTAAGACGCTCATCTCTGCAAAAAATAACAAAAATTAGCCGGGTGTAGTGGTGCATGCCTGTAGTCCCAGCTGCTGAGGAGGCTGAGGTCAGAGGATCGCTTGAGCCCAGGAGGTCGAGGCTGGAGTGAGCTATGATTGCACCACTGCACTCCATCCTGGAGCTCTCATGGAGGTGCTGGCTGACCAGGGAGGGATGCCATTCCATTTCTGATAACATAGGATCTAAGCCCCTCTGGTATTGACTTCATCTTCTCCAAGTGGCTCTACCATGCAATTGTAGCTGTACCGCTGGCCATCCAGAGCTCCTACAGTAGGCCGCAACAGTCCAAACCTCAAGTCTCAGTTATTGGAACACCCAAAAGAAGGAAGGCATTTCCCACCGGCATAGCTGAAAATAGACATGCTTATAACAGAGCGAGAAAAAACAGTTCATTTCTGGCCAGAAATGAATTTTGTGGAATCAAAAAGAACAGTAAGTGACACTCCCACATTCTAACTGACAAAGCATGCTGGAAGTTCAGTCCTATGTTGTAATCCTTGCTCAGACAAAATCATCAATAAAACGGGGCCCCAAGTTGTGCGGCCTGACAATAATGTTAACATTCACCCTATTTCTTCTGGGAAGTTTCAAAATGTGCATCTCCAATTAAGTATGCAATTAAAGGGAAAATGAGAATCACAATAATAATAATTGTATGGTAACTTGCCATTAGTTTGAGAATCATGCACACATAACCAACTCTATTTGTGTGGTCCCAGCATGCCTGCTTGTTTGCTCATTCTTTTTTTTTTTTTTTTGAGACAGAGTCTCACTGTCGCCCAGGCTGGAGTGCAGTGGCGCGATCTCGGCTCACTGCAAGCTCCGCCTCCTGGGTTCACGCCATTCTCCTGCCTCAGCCTCCCGAGTAGCTGGGACTACAGGCCCCCGCCACCATGCCCGGCTAATTTATTGTATTTTTAGTAGAGACGGGGTTTCACCGTGTTAGCCAGGACGGTCTTGATCTCCTGACCTCATGATCCGCCCACCTCGGCCTCCCAAATTTTGGGAGGTGTGAGCCACCGCACCCGGCCTTGTTCATTCTTTTATTTACTTACAATGTATCTGCTAGATGTCTAGGACCAGGCTAAGATCTGAATGGTGCTCAGTAATATTGTTGGAATAAAGGAATGACAAAGCTAAATAGGAATTATTATTATTATTATTTTGAGATGGAGTCTCGCACTGTCACCCAGGTTGGAGTGCGATGGCACGATCTTGGCTCACTGCAGGCTCTCCCTCTCGGGTTCACACCATTCTCCTGCCTCAGCCTCCTGAGTAGCTGGGACTACAGGTGCCCGCCACCATGCCTGGCTAATTTTTTGTATTTTTAGTAGAGACGGGGTTTCACCATGTTAGCCAGGATGGTCTCGATATCCTGACCTTGTGATCCTCCCGCCTCAGCCTCCCAAAGTGCTGGGATTACAGGCGTGAGCCACCGTACCCGGCCCAATAGGAATTATTAAGCTGCATATATATGTTTTCTCAAATCAGTGCCTTGTTACTCTTGCTATGCAAAGATGGAGAGGAACATTGAATGTATTAATGCTTATTCTATTACCAGGTGAGAATCCTGAACTCTCTGGCTTAGAAAGAATCTTAGCAAGACATCAGTTGCCAAAAGAGATTAATCTGACCCCAAAGCCGAACAGAATGCCCCCGTGGAAAAGAAAAATCATCAACAATGTAACTGACGGGTGGAAGAAATGTCACTTGTTGAAGAGAAACACGAAAGAGCCTCCAATGTCCACCATAGTTGTCAGGTAGACTCTAATTTCTGCCTTATGTGGATATATTTAGAGATACACAGGGTGATCACAAAATCTCTATATGCCTTAGCTAAAAAATGATAAGCACTGTTCTATATAAAAGCACATGGGCCCCATTTTTACCCACCACCAAGCTGCTAGAGGAGCCCTCACTGGGAGTAAACTCATGGAAATGGGAGCAGGAGTGTGGGTCCTCCATGGCCCATTGCAGTCTAGAATAGAGAGCAGAAATCTAGCAAGAACAGAGTGGGATTCTTGGAGAGAAACCCAACCACTGAGCTTTGGGGCTTTTTGGCTGCGTAAGTTGGGAAGCAGCTTGGTTTTTCACACCCACCATTGGCATGACCAGGGGCTAGGATACCATAGCAGGACATGGTGGACCTTTGGCTTTATCCCTGGTCTGCCAGACTGTACATGGAGAGAACTGGAGCACCATTGGACAGTCTTAACAAGAGGAGTGACATCATCTGACCCAAATCCTCTCTAGCCTCCCAAAGAATGCATGGGTGGAGGAGAGCTGTTGGGAGATTTTACAGCTCTGCAGGTAAGGGATGGTGGCCCAGGTGGTAACAGTGGGGATGTGGAATTGGTTGGATTCCGGTGCTCAAAGTCATAAGCTTTGGTTCCTTGGCAAATTATCTTTTTTTGGTGCACTTCTTTCCCTGCTTATGCCAGATAGATGGTGTTTCTATATTTGTTTTTTTCTTTTCTTTTCTTTTCTTTTCTTTTTTTTTGAGACAGAGTCTCGCACTGTCACCCAGGCTGGAGTGCCGTGGCGCGATCTCAGCTCACCGCAACCTCCGACTCCTGGGTTCCAGTGATTCTCCTGCCTCAGCCTCCCGAGTAGCTGGGATTACAGGCATGTGCCACAACACCTGGCTAATTTTTTTTGGTATTTTTAGTGGAAACGGGGTTTTGCCATGTTGGCCAGGCTAATCTCAAACTCCTGACCTCAGGTGATACAACTGCTTGGCCTCCCAAAGTGCTGGGATTACAGGCGTGAGCCACCGTGCCTGGTCTATATTTGTTTCTTTCGTATTGCTGCATGTATGGCAATGATGCCTACACTTTGTACATAGTAAGTATTCAAGCAATTTTGCCGGGCTGTCAGGATAAATGTAGATGTTGCTACAAAGACAGGATCATTTCTGATTTGAAGGTAACATAACCGGGAGAGAGTTCCAGCTCATGAATTTGCCTGAACTGGAAGCTTCCCCTGGGATTATTGCCCTGGTGAAACAGAGTCCTTGTCTGCATTTTTTTCAGTGTCCTCAGTGGCATAATTTGCCAATTTGATTTAAATATTGGTAGCCAAAGAAGGCAAAGGTATTATTATAAAAGAAGGTGGTCAATGGAACCATGGTGTTTTCTGGACAAAGCAAAGACACTACATTTTTTGTCCAGAAGTAGGTAAAGGTTATATTAAGTGATGATATCTGATTACTCAAGTGAAGATTATTTGACCATGCTTTGGAAGCCTGATATGATTTGGCTCTGTCCCCACCCAAATCCCATTTTGAATCGTAATCCCCACATGTTGGAGGAGGGGCCTGGTGGGAGGTGATTGGATCATGGGAACAGATTTCCTCCTTGCTGTTCTCATGATAGTGAGTAGTTCTCAAGAGATCTGTTGGTTTTAAAGTGTTGCACTTCTCCCCTCGCTCTCCCTCTCTCTCCTGCTCCACCACGATAAGATGTGCCTGGCTTCCCCTTTGCTTTCTGCCCTGATTGTAAGTTTCCTGAGGCTTCCCAATCATGCTTCCTGTTAAGCCCGTGGATCTATGATTCAGTTAAACCTCTTTTCTTCGTAAATTACCCAGTCTCATGTAGTTCTTTATAGCAATGTGAAGACAGAATAACACAAGACCTATTTTTAAACATTCAAGTTTCACAACCATAGAAAGTTTGTACACCTCAATTTTAGGTCCTGATGTCTTCATATGAAGTTATAGATCTTTATATCCTAGTTTGCTTTCTGAAAATATAGCTAGAGTATCAGAACATAGGAAATGGTACTTTTTTTTAACATTTTATTTTACAAACATTTATTTGCTTTCCTTAAAAGCAGGGACTGTCAGCCTATCTTATTTATTTTTGTATTCCTAGTGTTACAGGTTGGAGTCTCAAGCGCTGAGATAGAAATAAGAATGCAAAAGGTTTCCTGGGAGTGGTGTTGCATCAAAGTGGAAGCAGGAAAACAGTGTTGGGCAGGGATTCAAGAGGTGGAGAAACAGGCTTCGCCCCAGTGGAAGGAGGTGCAAAGTCATGTTGCAGGGGGCTTCGGTACAGGACAGGTGGGAGGATTAGGCCCATTTTGCAATCAATCAATCATGAACCTTGTCTTGGTTGCTGTGACTCCAGATTCCTGAAGGATCTGCTGAATTAACTGTTCTAGTTCTGATGATGCCTCCTGGCATTAATGATTCTTCTCCTATTACCTGGTAACATGGTAAATATTGTCATTTGATAACTGTATCATTCTTAATTCTTTGTGACTTAACTGACACCCTTGAGAGAATTCATTCTTTAGCCAAAGCAAGCCTGACTATTATTAAGAATCATCAATAATAGCTTTGTCCATAAAACTAGAACTACCATATGACCCAGCAATCCCACTACTAGGTGTGAACCCAAAGGAAAGTAAATCAGTATGTCAAAGAGCTCTCTGCCCTCCCATGTGCATTGCAGCACTATTCACAACAGCCAAGATATGCAATCAACCTAGGTTTCCATCAACAGATGAATGAATTAAAAATGTGGTGTATATACACAAGAGAATACTTTTTAGCATAAAAAAGAAGGAAATCCTGTCATATGAGGCTGCATGGATGAGCCTAGAGGACATTATATTAAGTGAAATAAGGCCCAGAAAGACAAACTTCAAAAGGTTCTCACTCATTTGTGGGCGCTAAAAATTAAAACAGTTGTATTCATGGAGGTAGAGAGTAGAAGAATGGTTTCTAGAGGCTGGGAAGGGTAGTGGAGGTAGTGAGAGGAAGTGGGGAAGAATACTGCATGCTCTCGTTCATATGTGGAAGCTGAAAACGCTGATCTCACAGAAGTAGAGAGTTGAGTAGTGGTTGCCAGAGGTTGGGAAGGGTAACGGGAAGGGGTGGATAGCCAGAGGTTGGTTACCCGATACAAAAGTACAGCTAGACAGGAGGAATAAGTTCTGGTGTTCTATAACACTGTAGGGTGGTTATAGCCAACAATAATTTTTTGTTTATTTTCAAATAGCTAGAAGAGGGCATCTTGAATGTTCCCAACACAAAGAAATGAAAATTGTTTGAGGTGATGACATGCTCATTACCTTTATTTGATCATGACACATTGTAAACATGCATCAAAACATCCCACTGTATCCCATAAATATGTGCAGTTATTATGTCAATTTAATCGAAGAATAGCTTTGTTTTTGTCTAAGAGCTATTGAACACTACTGATTCGTGTGCCCTTGACCACCTGTAAAATGGTGTTGCTAATACCTCATGTTGTATCAGAAAGAGTTGTGACACTGATAGAAAAACGACTGTGAAATTGAGTTTTGACAAGTATGAAGTACTATTTGAATGCATTGTACAGTATTTTCACGTGTTAGATTGAGGCAACTGTAGGTCCTAACCTTGAACCTGCCCTGGCAAACATTTGCTCAGTTTATGCTGTGTATCCCCGCTAGCACGGAGAGGATAAGGCCCCTCTCTCACATGGCAATAGCAGTTTTAGGGCCACAAAACAGGCAGATCATACGTGAGGCCTGCTGGCTTTGACAAAGTTCCTTCAGTGCTGTGCTATGTAAACAGATCAGCAGGCACAAAAGCCAGGAGTCCTGGGACCATGCCGGTAAACAGATTTTCTAAGTCTAGAGCTGCAGATGGTGGTGTCTTATCCCTGTTGGTGAACCTGGCAGGATTCCAACCCCCAGCTCAATAATACTGTAAATCCCTACTGGATACTGCATGTAAATTATAATTACTTGTAAACTGTGTTTACTGGCTCAGTATGCCATATTTATATGGACTCTAGGGCTTAATTTTTTTTTCTCTTGATAAGTGTGACAAAAGCAGTACTTGAACAGAAGAGAGCTGTGTGTTCCATGTGAGAACTTTAGTTTAGATTCCATAATGTTTTTGTTGCATCGATGTGGTAGCAACTGAAGACGGGGCCTGGTAGTCGATGGGTTTTATTTTGCCCACCTCTCTGCCATAGACATTTGCAATTTATCCTGACTTGGGGCCGCTCCTCCTCTATACCAAAATTCATCTTTTATTGTACTTACCATGTTATAGTGTCTGTGTTGATTTGCTACTCCACTCGTGTGCTGTGTAAGCATTTAAGAAAAACGTTTAATGTTTTCTTTTTCTTTTTCTTTTCTTTTTTTTTTTTTTTTTTTTTTTGAGATGGAGTCTCACTCTTGTTGCCCAGGCTGGAGTGCAATGGCTCAATCTTGGCTCACTGCAACCTCTGGCTCCCAGGTTCAAGCGATTCTCCTGCCTCGGCCTCCTGAGTAGCTGGGATTACAGGCATGCACCACCACACCCAGCTACTTTTTGTATTTTTGGTAGAGACGGGGTTTCACCATGTTAGCCAGGCTGGTCTCGAACTCCTGACCTCAGGTGATCCTCCCGCCTCAGCCTCACAAATTGTTGGGATTACTGGCGTGAGCCACCGTGCCTGGCCATTTTTCTTTTCTTTTTTTTTTTTTTGAGATGGAGTCTTGCTCTGTCACCTGGGCTAGAGTGATCCCCCCAGAAGTGGGACCAGAAATCCTGAAGCAGTAGCCGCAAGCCAATCTACATGGAAAGGCAGGAAAACAACGCTTGAGTGCCTGGGTACAAGGGAACCGAGGCAGGTTTGGAGAAAAAGACCTGGCACGTGGTGTGGAGGCTCCTTCTGGGGACTTGGCACTGGATTTTATGTGGGAATGAAGGTGACTGGGCTGGTCAGGGCATGTGTTATCCCTCTGGAATTTAGAGGCAGGTCTTGGCAAATACTTGCTGACACTTCCTACACCTGCTGACTTTCACGTACCCCTGCTGATTTCAATGGAAGGGACATGTGTATGTTCTGATCTTGGGGAGCATCATTCCATGCCCCTACTAGAAAAGATGTCTCAAACACTTTCTGTGACGTGACTGGTTCACATCTTCTGCTTGCTTTAAATTTTCTTTGCCTTATTAAGTTGTGAGAGTTCTTTTCATATTTTCAATACAAAATTCTTTGATAAAAGCATTGCAAATATTTTCTCCCAGATGGTAGCTTGCCTTTCATTATTTCATGATAACACAGAAGAACAAAGGTTTTACATTCCCAATGCATCAATTTTTTTCTTTCACAGTTTTTGCATTTTATATTCTAAGAATCCTTTGACAAGTCCAAAGTTGCAAAGACTTGCTCCTATATTTCCTTACTGAAGTTTTGTAGTTTTAAGCTTCAAATTTAGGTTGGTAGGCCAGGCACAGCGGCTTACGCCTGTAATCCCAGCACTTTGGGAGGCTGAGGCGGGCGGATCACAAGGTCAGGAGTTCGAGACCATCCTGGCTAACACAGTGAAACCCCATCTCTACTAAAAATACAAAAATTTAGCCGGGCGTGGTGGTGGGCGCCTGTAGTCCCAGCTGCTCGGGAGGCTGAGGCAGGAGAATAGTGTGAACCTGGGAGGCGGAGCTTGCAGTGAGCCGAGATTGCCCCACCGCACTCCAACCTGGGCAACAGAGCAAGACTCTGTCTCAAAAAAAAAAAAAAGTTTAGGTTGGTAGGCCATTTTACTTTATTTTTGCATAGGGTTTGATATTCATTGGTTTGATGTTAATTTCTTTTTTCTATTTGGCTATCTAGTTGACCCATTGGCATGTGTTAAAAAGATTTTCCTTTCCGTATTGAATTGTTTTGGCACTTTTTTTTTTTTTTTGAGATGGAGTCTTGCTCTGTCATCCAGACTGGAGTGCAGTGGTGCGATCTTGACTCACTGCAACCTCTGCCTCCCAGGTTCAAGCAATTCTTCTGCTTCAGCCTCCAGAGTAGCTGGGTTTACAGGTGCGTACCACCACACCCAACTAATTTTTGTATTTTTAGTAAAGACGGTTTCACCATGTTGGCCGGGCTGGTCTCAAACTCCTGACCTCAAGTGATCCACCCACCTTGGCCTCTCAAAGTGCTAGGATTACAGGCATGAGCCACTGTACCCGGCCTGTTTTGGCACATTCATAAAAAATGAATTTCCACATATATTTGAGTGTATTTCTGAATCCTATTTTGCTCCATTTATCTACATGTCTTTGCCCAAACAAGACTTTCTTACTGTGGCCAGGTCCTGAAATAAGGTAGTGTTAGGCATCTGACTTTGATCTTCTGCTTTAAAAATTGCTTTGATTATTTTAGGTTCTTTGTATTGCCATAAAAATTTAGAACCAATTTGTTAGTTTCTACAAAAGGACTACTAGAATTTGTTTGGGATTGAGTTGAATCAAGATCAGTAGGGGAGAACTTCCATCTTAATAACACTGAGACTTTCAACGTGGACAGGATATATTTGCCCTTTGGTTAGGTCTTCTTTAATGTCTCCTAACAATGTTTTGTAGTTTTCAGTGAAGAAGTCGTGGATATTTTTTGTTATATTTATTACTAGCACAGGGGTAAAAGGAGCTTTCCTTTTTCCCTCTGAAGGTTGATGAAAGGCGTCTGCTAAACTTGACAACAGACAGATTAACAGGAGAAAAGGCATACAGATTTATTAAGGTGCAAGTGCTGAGAGTCACACAAGGTATGAAAATTCAAAGAAGGGCCAGGTGGTTGACGATTAAATGCCTGCTTCATAGGGGAGAGGAAGGTGAGGGATGTAAGGAATTTTAGAGGAAAAGTAAATTATATTTAGGGAAGATGACTGGGCCTAAACAAGAGACAATAGCCTGGGACAAAGTCCCTCTGAACTCTGGGAGAGATGGCAACAAGTTATGGGAAGGTGAGGGGAGGAACTGCACCATGAACAAAGTTTGCCTTATGCAGATAAAGTCCCTCAGAATAGCCCTCAGAAGAGTACATGAAAAGTCTGTCTAGGGGGTTGTGGTGACAACCTTTATTTTATCTTTGGTGATTAATCTTTCCTGGTTAATGAGAGTTCAGACAGAATATTAAAGGCAATTGTTTTTCTCGGAGAGTAACTTCCCTCAGTCAGATATGGGAACTTCAGAGAGAGCCCCTCCCTGCACTTGTGGGAAGAAACAAGGGAAGGTTAGAGAGACCTTGGTTTGGAGGCAGAGTCTAAGGGCTTTCATTTAATTCAAAGCATTCAGCGTGCCAAAGTGCCATACTCTAGAGTATCGTTTTCTGAGCCTCAAAACTAGGTATTTTATAGTTTATAGCACCACTGTAAATGAAAAATATTAAATATAAGGATACAATTGATTTTTGTTAGTTATTGTGGTATACTACAAACTTGTAAATTAATTTATTAGTTCTAGTAGCTAGTTTTTAGATTCCCTGGGATTTCTCTTTTATTGTGATAAGAACACTTTACATGAGGTCTTAACAAACCTCTCAACAATTTTTAAGCGTGCAATACATTATTGTGAACAGTGTTGTAAGCAGGTATTTAGAGCTGATTCATCTTGATTGCCTGAAACTTTAAGCCTGTTGATCATTAATTCCCATTTCCCCCTCCCACAACGCCCTGGGATGTAACCATCATTACGCTCTTTGATTCTATGAATTTGACTGTTTTAGATGCCTCATATAAATGGAATCATGCATTATTTCTGTGACTGGCTTATTTCACTTAGCATGTCCTCAAGGTGCATCTACGTTGTCACATATTACAGAATTTCTGTCTTTTAAAAGGCTGACTAGTACTTCATTGTACGTATATACCACATTTTCTTTATCCACTTCTCTGTCAATGAAGATTTACATTTTTCCCATACTTTGGCTATTGTGAATGGTGCTGCGATGAATATAGAGGTGTTAATGTCTCTTCAAGATTTTGATTTCAATTCTTTTGGATAAATACCCAGAAGTGGCATTACTGGATCATATAATTCCTTGGGATTTTTTTTAATGTAAATAGTCATATTATCTGCAAATAGAGAAACATTTTTACATCTTGTTTTCCATTCTTTGTCTTTTATTTCCTTTCTTTGCCTTATTGCAATGACTAAGATTTTCAGTACAATGTTGAACAGATGTGGTAAAAGCAGACATCTTTCATTTTTTTTCTCAATCTCAGAGAAAAAACAATTCAGTGTTTTATTTACTCTAGGTTTCTGCAGATTCCTTTTATAAGTTTGAGAAGTTCCCTACTGTTTCTAGTTTGTTTTTATCACACATGAATGTATAATTTTGTCAAATGCTTTCTCTGTATCTATTAATAATATGTTTATTCTATTAATATGGTGAATTGCATTGCTTTTTAAAAATATTTCTTATAGTAAAATGTGCATAACATAAGATTTACCATTTTAAGTGCTTAAGTGTAATTAAGTTAGTGGCATTAAGTACATTCCCATTGTTATGCAACCATCGTCACTATCCTTCTCCAGAACATTTTCATCATCCCATAATGAAACTGTCTCTCCTTTAAACATTAATTTTCTACCCCTTTTTCTTCTCAGCACCTGGTAACCATTATTCTATTTTCTGACTCTATGAATTTGCCTATTGAATCATACAATATTTGTCCTTTTGTGTCTGGCTTATTTCACTTGGCATAATGTCTTCAAGGTTCATCCATGTTGTAGCATGTATCAGAATTTTATTCTTTTTTAAGGCTGATAATATTTCATTCTATGTATAGACTACATTTTGTTGATCCATTCATCTGTTGATGGACACTTGGGTTGTTTTTACTTTTCTATCTTGTGAATAATGCTTTGTATGCAAATATCTGTTCAAGTCTCTGCTAGTCAATTATTTGCGGTATATACTCTGCTATGGTTTAAAGGTCTTCTCCAAAACTCATGTTGAAATTTAATTGCCATGTCACTTTACTGTTTGAGTAACGTTGGTGTGAAGCTTCATTGATGCCTTTTGCTTTATGTCCTGCTTAAGTCTGTGTGAAGGATTTGTGTTTTTCTGCCTTACAAACATAATTTAATTTATTGGACAGGAATTCATGGATAGTAATGCTGTCTGCCCCTTTACTTCAGAAAACACAGTGACTCTAGTGGATTTGAATAAGTGAAACTGCTCTGAAATGCTATGGAAAGCCGACTCCCCAAAGAGTGGTTTCTTCTAGAAGTTTGAATTTGTAGCTACAGTTTCCAGGAAGAAAAATAGTAGTTGGATAACTTGGTAAAATAATAACATCATTTTCATTTTCTTCCCTTTTCTTAACTTTGGTTTCCTAAAGGAAGAAAATAAGTACATAGCACATAATCTATTTAAATAGATTTAAAGAGAGTTGCAAAATAAATCACCCGGTCTAGCTCTTAAGTGAATAAAACAGATTTTGTTTGTGAATAAAATCTGTTGATTGCCAACACTACCACTACAGTATCCCACCAAGGGCTTCATGTGTCAGCTCAGTGCGATCTCCTTTAACTCTGCAGCACCGCTGCAGCTGCCGACGTAGCCTCGGTAGGTGGCTATTAGAGCTCTACCATATACAGTGGTGCATCTTCAGATTTATGCATCAAACTAAAGACATGTCCAAGTCCATTTTAATTTCCTCAGTGTTTTTATGGGAAGTTTTATGGACCTCCCCCAGTTGTCTTTTTATTTGGGGTTATGACGATCACGTTTGATAATTACAGTGATAATGTTTCCACGTGATGCTTTTGTTTGAACCTGATAAAATTTAGTGAAACTTTGTAATGATCTATGTGCACTTTTACTTGTAAAATGGAATTTCTGTATGTTTATACTTGTAAATATATTGTTGTTAGTGCTCCTGTTGCTCATGGTGTCCTGCCTCGCATTTGTGATTCTGTTAATGACTTGTATCTTAACTAAGTTCTTAGTGGTGTTGTAATAGGGAGATGGGGCAGGTGGGGTGTTATTTGTACCACTGAATCTTCATTAATTTGGTTCTTTACTGTTTTGAGGGGAGAAAGAATGTGAAATGGTTTGTGTATTATTGAATTTTAAGCAATATTTTAGAAGCTGTGTGACTGCTTTAATAACTTTTTCCCAGTGTTATTTGAATCATACTACCAGTTTTACTACAGCCGAATGACAATTGTGTGAAAGTTACTGCCTTCATAAGATCAAGTCACCACTGTTACACAGCTGACATATATTGTATTACCTTTGCAGCTAGTAAACTATAAAGTTTAGATACTGAATCTCATTACAGGGTTATTTATATAATGTGACGTTATTCAGTACTGACAGACTACATGAAGTAGTTTTAAAATCTAGTGCTATTTTTATTTTAAAGGTTAGCAATGAGGAGGAAATGTGATCTGGCTGTGTTTGTCTTCTGTACAAAGCCTGAAATGCTTATGGTTTTTTGGTTAACAGCCACAGAGGGCAAAGTTTAAGACTTTCTTGTAAGGACTAACTGTTCTTTTCAAGCCACTGTTTGTTTTTCTAAAAGCAGGATTTGCTTCCGTAGCAGGCAAGTTCCTTGACGTGGAATAGTGCAACCTGTATATGGGCTATTATAATAGGAAAGACATCTGTATTTGCACAGTTTAAATCATTCTTAAATTTTAAACATGTGAAATGTCCCCAAAAATCTTTAATTTTTTGGTAATTTGTACTCTTTTTGTGCACATGTTGATTTCTTAATGGTAAATCCTTCATTTAAAGGTAGTGTTTTCTGTTGAGAATATTTTCATGGAATAAAACAATCTTTTCGTGGCAAAAAAAAAAAAAAAAAAGAAATTTAATTGCCATGTGATGTATTGAACGGTGAGACCTTTAAGGTGTGATTAGGTCATGAGGGTTCTGCTCTCATGAGTGGATTAATGCCATTACTGTGGGAGTGGGTTAGTATGTCAGAAGGTCAATCTCCTTTTTCTCTCTGTTTCACTTGTGTGGTTCCTTGACATGCTATGCCTTTGCCATGATATGATGCAGCAAGAAGACCCTTACCACATGTGGCCCCTCAATCTTGGATTCCCAGGCTCCAGAACCATGAGCCAAATAAATATATTTTCTTTATAAATTACTCAGTTTATGGTATTCTATCATAGCAACAAAAATGGACTAAGACATACCCAGAAGTGGAATTGTGGGATTGTATGGTAATTATGCCTATTTGGGGTCCCTTAAGATTCCATATGCATTTTAGAATACATTTTACATATCTGCAAACACATTGTTGGGACCTTGATAGAATTACATTAAATCTGCAAATCACCTTGGGTAGTATTAATATCTCAATAATACTAAGTCTTTTAATCCGTGAACATGTGAAGTCTTCCCATTTATTTATTTGTCTTCTGTAATTTATTTCAGTAATGTTTTGTAGTTTTCACTAAGTATTATGCCTCATTGGATAAACTCATTCCTAAATTTGGTTATTTTTGATGTTATTATAAATTGAATGGTTTTTCTCAATTTCCTTTTTGGAATTTTCATTGCTAGTATTTATTTATCTTTAATCTTTATTTTTTCCTTCTTTCTGCTAGTTTTGGATTTAGTTTGTTCTTTTTCTAGTTTCTTATGGTGTAAATCTAGGCTGTTTATTCAAAATCTTTCTTTTTTCTTAATGTGTTTGCAGCTGCAAATTTCCATCTTAGCACTGCTTTCAGATCCTCCCATAAGTTTTGGTTTGTCGTGTTTTCATTTGTGTCAAGATATTTTAAATTTTTTGTGATTTTTCTTGACCCATTGGTTATTTAAAAGTGTGTTAATTTCTACATACTTGTGAATTGTCCAGGTTTTTGCTGTTAACTTCTAGTTTCATTTCATTGTGATGAGAAATGATATTTTGTATTTCAATTTTTAAATCTATTAAGATGTCCTATGGCTTAACATATGGAAAATGCTCCATGTGCACTTAAAAAATACATATTCTGTTGTTGTTAAGTGCAGTGTACTGTATGTGTCTGCTGGGTCCAGTGGGTCTATAGTGTTTTTTAAGTCCTATATTCCCCTATGATCTTCTACCTGGTTCTCTATCCACTGAAGAAAGTGGAGGTATTGAAGTTTTCTACTATTATTGTAGGGCCATTTATTCTTCAATTCTGTCAATGTTTGCTTCATATATTTTGGAGCTCTAATATTTAGTGCATATGTTTATAATTGTCATATCTTCTTGGTAAATTGAGACTTTTAGCATTATATTATGTCTGTCTTTGTCTCTTTTAACAGTTTTTGACTTAAAGTCTATTTTGTCAATTAGTATAGCCATTTCTGCTCTCTTTTTATTACTATTGGCATGGAATATCTTTTTAATCCTTCCACTTTCACCCTACTCATATCCTTAGATCTAAAGTGAGACTCTTTTAAACAGTATATAGTTGATCCTGGTTTTATACCCACTCTGCCAACTTATGATTTTTGATATGTTTTCAATCCAATTACATATAAATTGCTGAAAAGAAAGCAATTAGTTTTGCCATTTTGTTGTTTTCTCTGTCCCTTACAGGTTTTTTTCTCCCTCATTTCCTTGATTACTGCCTTCCTTCATGTTTAAAGTTGTTGTAATGGCATATTTTGATTCTCACTTCTGCTTGCGTATATTTTCTTGGTGTTTACTATGTGCACTACATATAACATCCTAGAGTTATGATGATCTATCTTAATTGATACCAACTTAACTTCAATTGCATATAAAAACTCTACTTCCTTAAAGCTTTTCTCCCCTTATGTTATTGATGTCACAAATTATACGGTTTAATATTATATATTCATTAACATATATTCATAATTATTTTATGCAATTGTCTCTTAAATCCTGTAGAAAATCAAAAGTGGAGTTATAAACCAAAATTACATTAATACTGTTTTTATATTTGTTCATATATTTACCTTTACTGGAGAACTTTATATTTTCATCTGTCTTCCAGTTACTATCTAGCATTATTTCATTTCAAACTGGAGGACTTCCTTTAACATTTCTTGTAGGGCAAGTGTAGTAATAATAAATTCCCTCAGCTTTTGTTTTTATGGGAATGTCTTAATTTCTCCCTCATTTTTGAAGAAACATTTTACCAGGTATAGAACTCTCAGTTGACAGTTTTTTTTAAAATTTTCAGCACTTTAAATATATCACCCCACTGCCTCTAGTCTCCAAGGTTCTTGCTGAAATAATACTCGGATAGTCTTATCGCAGATCTCTTGTATATAGTCACTTTTCTCTTGATGCCTTCCAAGATTCTCTTTATCTTGCACTTTTGTCAGCTTTGATTATGTGTCTTCGTATGGGTCTCTTCAGGTTTGTCCTACTTGGAGACCATTGAGCTTGGATTTGTATATCCATGTCTTTCCTCATATTTGGCAGGTTTTCAGCTATTATTTATTCAAATAGTCTCTCTCCTCATTTTTCTCACCTCCTTCTGGGACTCCCATTATGCATATATTGGTCAGTGTGATGGCATCTCATAAGTCCCTAAGCCTCTGTTCACTTTATTTTTTCTTCTGTATGCTTCTCAAATTCAATAATTTCAAATGAGCTGTTTTCAAATTTGCTTATTCTTTCTTCTACTTATTTGAGTTTGCTGTTGAACTCCTCTAATAAAATTTTCAAATTAGTTATTGTACTTTTCAGCTCAATATTTTTTTTTATAATTTCTTTGTTGATGTTCTCATTTTGTTCATATGTTTTCTTGACTTTCCTTTGTTCTTTGTTCATGTTTTTCTACAGTTCTGCGAGTATATTTGACATTTGTGGTTTTTTTTTGTTGTTGTTTTGAGACAGACTCTCACTCTGTTGCCCAGGCTGAAGCGCAGTCATGTGATCTTGGCTCACTGCAACCTCTGCCTCCTGGGTTCCAGTGATTCTCATGCCTCAGCCTTCTGAGTAGCTGGGATTACAGGTGTGCAGCACCATGCTCTGCTAATTTTTTTGTATTTTTAGTAGAGATGGGGTTTCACTATGTTGGCCAGGCTAGTGTCAACTCCTGGCCTCAAGTGATCTGACTGCCTTGGCCTCCCAAAGTGCTGGGATTATAGGCATGAGCCATCGCACCTGGCTGACAGTTGTTTTAAAGTCTAGTAAGCCTGATGCCTGTGTTTCTTCCAGAACTGTTTCTGGAGATGTGTTTTGTTCATTTCAGTGGGCCATCTTTCCCTGGTTCTTTGCATGCCTTATGATCTTTTTTTGAAAATTGGGTATTTAAAAAAAATATGGCCACTCTCCCAGTCTTTGCAGACTGGCATGTAAGACCTCACTAATTTGTAAGTCCATGAGGTCTTCACTAATCTGAGATTAGTCCAGGTCTTCTCAGGTCTTTTCTAGGCATGCTTCCTTCCTGTGAATGTGTGTGTGCTCCCTGTCCCCATCAAAGGTGATTTTAAAGGTCTTCATTTCCTAAACAGTCTCACTGCAGCTTTTTCTTAGGGCCTTAGATATTCTATTGTATTCCTCTGTAATCTCCTGCCCTCAGAGGTCCACAGGGCAGCAATCCCTGTGTAGTTTTCATGTGCTGCATTGCTCACCACTGCCTTCTGTGGCTTCCAGCCTGAAATCAAAACTATTTGCTGTCTCCAGTCTGATACCTGAGTTGGACATTACAGACACCATTTCTGTAGGCAGCCCACAGACAGGCCAGGATGTTGCAACAAGTTTCACTCTGCTCCTTCTGTCCAAGTGTTCACATTTCCATGTTTCTTTTTATGTCACATCATTTTGTAAATATTATGTCATATGGATCCTGGATCCATATGACAGCTTCTTCTCAGGGCCTTAGATATTCTATTGTATGGTTGGATCCAATATTATGTCATATGGATCCTGGATATTTACTGTATTTACTATATTGTGGCATTGGATGGAAGTTATGTTTTTGTGGATCATGTTACAATCATCTGGAAAATGCCATTTTTGTTTTAGCAAGAAATCAATCTGGTTAGGTTCAGACTACAAGCTGTCTTGATCTTCTGTGGGTGGTGGTTAAAATCCCAGTACACTTCGCAAAGCCTTTGCTATGCTGGTTTGAGTCTGTCTCACTTATGAATCAGACTTATCTAGGTTCATACACAGAATTAGAGCTTCTTTCTCTTGGCTCTGGGAGTCTCTTCTTGCTTTCACTCTTTAGCCCCCAGAGGGCCCTTTTCCTTTTCAAAGTGTTTTTGTTTTCCTCAACTTCTATTTGGCTGGCCACTCCATGGTCACCGCAGCACCACCCCACAATAGGGGTGTGCCTCTGAGGCAGAAGTATTAGGTTGGTGCAAAAGTAACTGCAGTTTTGCCTTACTTCTAATACCATGCTCCGGAGTTAGATTCCAGCAATTGTGTTTATTTCTCATAATCTGGGAAACTTATCCTTGTGCAGTTGCTTCTCTGTATTTTGACACCCTTTAACAATCCACCTGCTTTTGATTAATTTCAGCATGCTCAAGTAGTTCTTTTTCGTATTTCTTCTAGAGATTTTAGTTGTAATTTGTGGAGGAATGGGCAGTAGTTGGCTTGTGCTGCCATTGTGGGATGAGAACTCTGCCTAGATTTTTATCTTCATTTTGACATTTACTGGGAGTTTGACTCTGGAGAAGCTAGTTTAATCTCCATGCCTCGGGATGCCTACTTGAAAATGGGTAGTAGCAACAGACCTACCTCATTTTTAATTTTTGGCATTGTTTTTGGTGGATAAAATATGATAATGGGCATTAAGCACTAGTAACTGCTCAATTGAAACGAATGCTTATTTCTATTCTTATATTTTCTATAAAACTGAACATCTTGGATTACAATTACTGGAATAAAAAATTTAGAACTAAAAAGTTAAGAGATTTGGTGAGTTAGCTAACTTTGACCTTAAAGGAAAGGTCAAAAGGAAGACTAAGAAAAGCAAAATATCCCATCCTTTTCTGTAGCCCTTGGAATTACACCCTCAGTCCTTGTCAAGTGATAGCTATGAAATCAAAACAGGGTGTTACAAGGACAATCAAGGCAGCTTGCAGGGATGCCTTTCATAAAGTACCACATTAAACAAGAATGGGACTCTAACAAATAAGAAAACAATTACTCATACAGAGCATTGCTTTCCAATGAAATGACCCAGTTTTCCCTTCATGCCTCTTTATTAAATTGTGCAAAAAAACCCAACTAAGATTCTTATTTGGGTTCTTATTCTTATTCTTGATTCTTATTTGTTTTCTAGTAATACTATTCCTTCCATTTTGCTCCCTTGCTACATGGCTGAAAAAGAACATGCAACCCACTGAAGACCTCAAGTCAGTGATCTGTAGGCTGTCAGCATTTGGCCCAATTCAGTCAGCCACTGTTTGTGGACGTCAAAGTGCTATAGTGGCATTCAAAGACATGACTTCAGCCTGTAATGCTGTGAGTGCTTTTCAAAGTAGGACCCCAGGCACCATGTTCCAGTGTTCCTGGCAACAACGATTCATGTCAAAAGACGTAAGACTCTCTACTACCAAACACCTGTGTGAATTCTTAAGCTTGTTTTACAAAACTTTTTATTCATCAGAGCTGTAGTGAAATATCATCATTGTAATTGATATTCTAGCACTACAAAAGGCACAATGAAGCTTATTTAGTTCCAGTACTGGAAATCAGAGGTAACAGCACATCCTTCCTTGGACATGCTTTACTCTGCTGTAGTGGTCATCACAGTTTTGATTTTCTGGATAAGAAGTTCACCACAGCATTTGTGCATTCATCTGATAGCCATCTTCCCTGAAGGACATTGCATTCTTCAGCATTAACAGCGTGTAGTTTTTCTCTCTCTCTTTTCCTGATTACCTCTTTTGAAATTCTCAAGGCCTGGAAAAACAAAACCAACAATAAGGTTAAGAGTTGACCTAGGCTGGACGTGGACTCATGCCTGTAATCCCAGCACTTGGGGAGGCCGAGGCGGGCAGATCAGTTGAGGTCAGGAGTTCAAGACCAGCCTGGCCAACATGGTGAAACCCCATCTCTACTAAAAATACAAAAATTAGCTGGTTGTGGTGGTACATGCCTGTGATCCCAGCTACTCAGGAGGCTGAGTCAAGAGAATTGCTTGAACCCGGGAGGCGGAGGTTGCAGTGAGCTGAGATCGCACCATTGCACTCCAGCCTGGGTGACAAGTGAGACTCTGTCTCAAAAAGAAAAAAAGAGTTAATCTAATAGGAGTGAGATTATTCTATGATTCTGGTTCTTGTTTCTCCCATGTTCATTTAATAAATCCTGTTAAATCTTTTTTTTTTTTCTGAGACATAGTCTCACTCTGTCGCCCAGGCTGGAGTGCAGTGGTGCAATCTTGGCTCATTGCAACCTCTGCCTCCCGGGTTCAAGCAATTCTCCCTGCCTCAGCATCCAGAGTAGCTGGGATTACAGGCGCCCACCACCACGCCTGGCTAATTTTTGTATTTTTTAAATAGAGATGTGGTTTTGCCATGTTGGCCAGGCTGTTCTTGAACTCCTGACCTCAGGTGATCTGCCCTTCTTGGCCTCCCAAAGTACTGAGACTACAGGTGTGAGCCACTGTTCTCGGCCCTAATGCTGTTAAATCTTAAGCTGCATGTGTAATATAAGACAGTGCTTCTCAAAATTCAGTGTGCATATAAATCGCTTCAGTAGGTGTGGGGCAGGCCTGTGATAATACATTTCCAAAAAGCCTCAGGTAGCTGCTCAAGCTTCTGGCTCCAGGACTACATTTTGAATAGCAAGAATATAAAAGCAATCAGTCACTCACTACCACATACAAAAACAAAAGTGCTATACAATAAGACTCTCAAAGTAGCTAATCCATGCTTCTCACCTGGATTCCAAAGTAAAAGTGCTCAGCAAATACTGCCTAGCATCCTGCTCAAGTAATCCCCATACAGAATTGCCCTCTGTCCCCACACAGAAATGGAAGGTCTATTTGATAAGTTTTGTAAAAATCAGTACTGCATTTCCAACATTACTACAGTTATTTTTTAATTCCAAATTTAGATGTGCTTAGAGGTAACTAAAGATGTGTCTTGTGCTTTTTATGACTTATTCTCTGAAGGCAAATAAATTTTTCCCTTAGGAAATCATTTTCAAGGTTCTTAGAAGTAAAAGATGAATACTAACATTTGGGGGAAGCTTTGCAAATGCCTTCAGCCTGGTCCAGACTTCTTTCTGAAAAGTGCTATCAGGGAAAACTTCAGTAACAAGTCCTTGAGCACATGCCTCTCCCGCTGTTAACTTCTTTCCAAAAATAAGCATCTCTGTTGCCTGAAATGAAAAGCAAGAAGCAAGGTTAAGATACTAACTTAATAAAACAAGGCTTCAGTTAACTGCTTTCAGGAGGCTTAGAGAGATGTACTCATGGTCTTTTGAGGTTGCTGGTATTTCTCAGTAAGGGAGAAGCTGATGACCTCAATAGGCAACGGTTTGCAAACTGTGTGCTGAGACAGGCTCCTGGGAAGGTCTATAAGGGCTGCTGCTTCTGTGTATCGTTGTTGGAGGGGCAAGATCAGGGGGTCCAGGGCAGAAATGATCTGAAGCAGATGCTTGATTCTATAACCCACAGCAGCTATGATTTTCCATTTGATACACTATAAACTATTATTTTACAGAGGAAAAAAGGAGAGAAAAATTACGGTCATTGGGTCAACCTTTAGAAACTTTCAAAATTCCATTCTCTGGAAACTACCCAGTGATCTGGCTCTGAGAGTTTTCTTTACCTGCATTGGTACTCAAATTAGTTCTATTTGACTAAAGGAAAGCAAAGACTTATAGTTAGCTTCCGAAAAAACTGAGGACATTAAGTGGATATCCTCTCTCCATTTGCAATTTCTTTTCCAGAAAAGGAATGCTCTTCTTTTTTTTGAGACAGAGTCTCACTGTGCTGCCCAGGCTGGAGTGCAGAGGCACGATCTTGGCTCACTGTAACCTCCACCTCCTGGGTTCAAATGATTCTCCTGCCTCAGCCTCTTGAGTAGCTGGGATTACAGGTGCCCGCCACCATGCCCCGGCTAATTTTTGTATTTTTAGTAGAGACAGCATTTCACTATGTTGGCCCGGCTGGTCTTGAACTCCTGATCTCAAGTGATCCACCAGCCTTGGCCTCCCAAAGTGCTGGGATTACAGGTGTGAGCCACTGCACCCAGCCAAGGAATGCTCTAATAGCCAAATGCTCTAAGACTTGTAGAGTCAGTTCTGCCCCCTTCCCAAGTTCAATTCAGGGTATGTGATAGCCTAATGAGAGTAAAAACATACATATATAAGTTTTTAACAAAATCCTAATAGGCAATGAAAACAAGCTCAATTCCCACTGCCCCACTTTGAGATCTTGCAGCAATATTTGCTAAGCCTTTTCCTATAGCTCAGCTTCTGGTCTTGTCACAATCCCCTTCGAGTCATGCCACAGGGCGTGGGCAACTAGGAAACACAGTGAAAGACCTGAGCAGCCACTTAACCAGCCTGGGAGAGAATACACCCGTGAGCAGGCTGATGGAAGGGCTGCTGTGATTGGGGGTGGCTCTGGCAGCCGTGAGCCCCCACAAAACCTCCCATCTGTTGGTACTTACTGTAACTCTGAAAGTGAAGACGTCATCATGTCTCTCCTTAGGAGATACTGGTCATCCATAAAGGAACCGAGTGGCCTCCAAACTCAGGGGACCAAGGGAGGCTGGCACAGCCCTGGTCCTTCAAGTGACTAATGCCACACAGCTGCAAGGCTGAGGTGCTGTGCTGCTTGCAGTGCAGCTAGCACTAAGCAGCCAGCTGAAGAGGAGGATCCCAGTTCTGGGAACTGCAGAGAGAATTTCTAATTTTCCTGCATAGCAGATACTTCCCATAGCCTGATTCCTCCATTGGTAAAACTCTTAAAGAGTTGAAAAGCAAATCATTAGCTTCTCTTTTGTCCATATTACCAAGGGAAAGAAGGGAGAGTATATGAGATTACTCTTCCTTCTTTCTTGAGATGACTCATAAAATTTTATATTTAAACATTCCAAAAGTTACCTTGGCTGGGCTCATTATCTTCGGAAAAGTGTAAGAGGAGCATCCTTCCGGACTTTGGCCTAGGTGACTAAATGGTGTATGAAATGTTGCCTGCAGAGGCAGGAGAGAAAAGAAAACCATCTTTTCATGTGTGATTTTTTTTTTTTTTTTTGAGACAAAGGGTTTCGCTCTTTTGCCCAGGCTGCAGTGAAGTGGCGCGATCTCGGCTCACTGCAACCTCCACCCCTTGGGTTCAAGCGATTCTCCTGCCTCAGCCTCCACAGCAGCTACGATTACAGGCATGCGCTGCCATGCCTGGCTAATTTTTGTATTTTTCGTAGAGACGGGGTTTCGCCCTGTTGGCCAGGTTGGTTTCAAACTTCTTACCTCAGGTGATCCACCTGCCTCGGCCTCCCAAAGTGCTAGGATCACAGGCGTGAGCCACCATGCCTGGCTTCATGTGTTATTTTTAAAAATCACGATTTGCTTATAACTTCACAATACTTAATAATATTTATTTAAAAATTAAGATTATGTGGTTAATATGCACACACAATTCACCCTTTAAAAGTGTATAGTTGGATGAGTTTGAACAAATAGAGAGTTACATAGCCACCACCACTACTGACATGCGGAACATTTCAGCCACCCTGAAAGGTTCCGGGGGCCCTTCTGTAGTCAGTCCCTCCCTCCCACCCCCAAGCAACTGCTAATCTGTTTTCTGTCCCTACAGTTTTGACTTTTATAGAATGCTGTATAAGTGGAATCCTACATTCTGTAGCATTTTGAGTCTGACTTCTGAGAGTCACCATGCTGTTGTATGTATTAGTAGTTTGTTCCTCGCTATTTCTGAGTAGTATTCCTTTGTATGGATGCACAATAATATGTTTATCATTCACCAGTTAATGCCATTGGTGTTGTTTCTAGCATTCAAATGGTTGTACCATTTGACACTGCCACTAGCAACGTATGAAAGGCTACTATGAAGAAGGCTGCTATGAAAAACAAGTTGAACACCTTAAATATATCTAGTCGTGTGTTGCTTAACAATGGGGATATGTTCTGAGAAATGCATAATTAGGCAATTTTGTCATTGTGCCAATATCATGGAGTATACTTACATATACTTGGATGCCACAGCCTACTGCACACCTAGCTATGTGGTAATCCCTACTGCTTCCAGGCTACCAACTTGGACAGCATGTTACTATACTTAATACTCTAGGCAGTTATAACAAATGGCATTTGTGTATCTAAATATATCAAACATAGAAAAGGTAGGCCGGGTGTGGTGGCTCATGCCTGTAATCCCAACACTTTGGGAGGCAGAGGTGGGCAAATCACCTGAGGTCAGCAGTTCGAGACCAGCCTGGCCAACGTAGTGAAACCCCATCTCTACTAAAAATACAAAAATTAGCCTGGTGTGGTGGTGTGCACCTGGAGTCCCAGCTACTCGGGAGGCTGAGGCACAAGAATTGCTTGAACCCGGGAGGAGGAGGCTGCAGTGAGCCGAGATCATGCCACTGTACTCCAGCCTGGATGACAGAGTGAAAAAAAAAAAAGAAAAGGTATAGTAAGATATGGTGTTATAATCTTAGGAGACCAGCGTTTTACATGCAGTCTGCCATTGACTAAAATGTTGTTATGCAGCACCTGACTGTACAATTCTTATTTGTCAAGTATACCTCAATGAAACTGAAAAAAAATTTAAAAATAAAAATGTTCAGATAATGTTAACAAAAAGGCAGTTAGGAACACTTGTGTACAGGTCACTGGGTGAATCTCTTTTAAATTATCATAGGTAAATACCTAAGTGGTATGGCTGGTCTGTGTGGTAAATGTATATTTAGCTCAGAAGCTGCTAGACTGTTTTCTAGAGTGGTTGTACCATTTGACATTCCCACCAGCAATGTATGAAAGTTCCAATTGCTCCACATCCTCACTAAACCTAGCTATTAAGTCTTTTTCATTTTAACCATGCTAGTATGTATGTAGTGGGGTCTCACTGTGGTTTTAATTTACATGTCCCTAACCATTAATGGTATTAAGTCTCTTACCATGTACTTATTAGACATACGTATATTTTCTTTGGTGAAGCAACTGTTAAGATATTTTCTCCACTATTTTTTTAAGTTAGGCTGTTTACCTTCCTATTATATAGTTGTAAGATACACATTCAGATTGCAAGTCTTTTATTAGAGCGTCAGGCAAATCTTTTCTCCTGGTCTATGGCTTATCTTTTCATTTTCTCAGTGGTTTCTCTCATATGGTTTTAATAGCCCTTTATATTTCATTTTGTCTGACCTATTCATTCCTCACCATTGCCCATTTTTATTTTAGCTTGTGGATCTATCGCTTTATAGACAAACTTTAAAAAGTATCGTGGAGAGATCAGCTTTTGTTACATGAGTTGAAAAATTGTTTCCTCAATCTGTCATTTGTCTTGATTTTGCCCCAGTGGTTTTTTTGGTTGGCTTTAACTACTGGAATTAATTCAATATTGGTTATTTAGTATATAGTCATTTTTAGTTTTTTTTTTTTTTACATTTAAGACATATTTTTGTGTTTCTTAATGAATAAATTATGAAAGAATGTTAATTTAAAATTCATAATATGTAAAAGAATATTTAGATTTCATTTCCTATAATCAGACACGCTGTTGTTTTTACTATATAACTGTTAGAAGATATAAATCTATAACATATGCAGCATATACATAAAAATAATCACAATATTTTTAAAAGTTTCTGTTAATGTCATGTATCTTCTTTTTTTATCCAAAAGAAAACTTATTCAAAAAAATGTACCCAGAAGACACAGCCTAAGGAATACAAGCAGGAAACTGAGAAACCTGCCAACAACAGCTAAAGGGACACAAACAGGTACATGCAAAGTTGCCAGTAAGCAGCATTTAAAATGCTGATTTTCAGAAAGAGAGCAGCAGGTGGAGTTAAGGGTTTAGGCTCTGGCGTCAGACTACTTAGGGACGTTGGGAAAGTTTCTTACCCTCTCTGTACCACAGTTTTCTCATTTGTAAAATGGGAACCAATCCTTCTTTGCTTTTTTTTTTTTTTGAGACGGAGTCTTGCTCGGTTGCCCAGCCTTGAGTGCAGTGGCGCAATCTCAACTCGCTGCAACCTCCGCCTCCCGGGTTCAAGCGATTCTCCTGCCTCAGCCTCCCGAGCAGTTGGGATTATAGGCGTGCACCACCACACCCAGCTCATTTTTGTATTTTTAGTAGAGACGGGGCTTCACCATGTTGGCCAGGCTGGTCTCGAATTCCTGACCTCAAGTGATCCACCTGCCTTGGCCTCCCAAAGTGCTAAGATTACAGGCATGAGCCACCATGCCCAGCCTAGATTGTAAAACTTATTTTTGCCACATTGGAGGAGAATGTTTGTTTTTATAGACAGGGTCTCACTCTGTTGCCCAGCCTTACTCTTGCCTCAGCCTACCAAGTAGCTGGGACTACAGGCGCCTGCCACCACACCTGGCTAATTTTTGTATTTTTAGTAGAGAAGGGGTTTCACCACATTGGCCAGGCTGGTCTTGAACTCCCGACCTCAGGTGATCCACTTGCCCTGGCCTCCCAAAGTGCCAGGATTAGAGGCGTGAGCCACTGTGCCTGGCCAAGTCCTTCTTTCATCGGGCTACTCTGTACATTACGTGAATATGTGTGTGTGTATGCGTATATTTATAATATACATAATGCATGTGAATAGAGTGCCTAAACAGTGACCACTCAAAGATTTATTATTGTTATGATTTCTACCTTTTTCTTAACTCATACAGGAAATGTATCATTTGCTGACAGAGCTAATAGGCATTATTAACCATTGCCCACAGTATAAAATAGATTAAATGTACTGATTAATATTTTGGTTATATGGGTTAAATATTAACCCATCATTTAATATGATATTTATTCTTGAAGCCAATAATGGTAAATCTTATAAAACAATTTTTTCTACAGCCTTTTCCTTTAGCATATTTCCTTTATTTTATTTATTTTTTACTTATATATTTTTTTGAGACAGAGTCTCGCTCTGTCACCTAGGCTGGAGTGCAGTGGTACGATCTCGGCTCACTGCAACCTCTACCTCCTGGGTTCAAGCAATTCTCCTGCCTCAGCCTCCAATGTAGCTGGGATTACAGACACCCGCCACCAAGCCCGGCTAATTTTTATATTTTTAGTAGAGATGGTGTTTCACCATGTTGGCCAGGCTGGTCTTGAACTCCTGACCTCAGGTGATCTGCCCACCTCAATTTCCTTTATTTTAAATGATGCTTGATTTGTTTGGTTGGGTAAACTTTTATCAGAAGACACTATTTGACAAATAAATTTTACTTTTGGCCAAATTTTTTAGCATTTAATATATATATGCAATATACATATATTATAATATATATAGAATAGATATGTTTTATATGTATTATGTATATATGTTTTCTGATTTCAACATTTATTACAATTTATATCATAAGATGGAAGTCATCAACATTTTTAAAAGGTTGATGCAGGCCAGGCTCAGTGGCTCACACCTGTACTCCCAGCACTTCAGGAGGCCAACGCAGGCGAATCACTTGAGGTCAGGAGTTCGAGACCAGCCTGGCCGACACAGTGAAACCCTGTCTCTACTAAAAATACAAAAAAATTAGCTCGATGTGGTGGCACGCACCTGTACTACTCAGGAGGCTGAGTGGGAGAATCGCTTGAACCCGGGAGGTGGTGGCTGCAGTGAGCCAAGATCGTGCCACTGCATTCCAGCTTGGGTGACAGAGTGAGACTCCCATCTCTTAAAAAAAAAAAAATAAGGATGATGTATATTGAAAGTAATTTTCAATTCAGTGGGAGAATCAGAACAAGATTCAAATACAATATTTGCCCTCCAAGTATTAAAGAATGAGATCCCCAATTTTAGGTCAGGAACCATTGACCCAGTCCCTGTTAAAAGCAGGTCAATGACTAATCAGTCATCTAATACACAGACTGTGAACAAAGACATTGATTTCTGCCTTTGAACAGAAACCTCTACCTACAAAGGCTGGGCAGCCTGGCACCTAGAATCTCATTTGCTAATTTTGTGGGAAAATTATTCATAAGAATTAGGTCTGTCAATACATCCAATCTGGTTCAATGGAATCCAGCAAAAGAAAATTCGAAGAATTAAGGATGCTATTATATGGTCCTGTCTATCAGTGGGGAAAATACCTCTGAACAAAACTAGAAATCTCTTCAGTGGTAAAAACCATATGCTCCCTAGAAGGCTGCAATCATCAGCACAGTTTACCATCACATAAGCATAAGTCACTGGACAATCTGATACCCTAAAGGTGGTTATTAGGTGCTTGTAATGATAAAAATTGGAAACAGCCTAGGGTTCCAGCAGTCAGGGACTGGTTAAACAAGATAAGTTAATAACCCAAACGTTAGGACTGGTTATCTCTAGGTGGCAAGATAAGGAGTGATTTTTACCTTGTAGCTTTTCTTGGTACTTTTTCATATCTTTCAAAATTTTATTTTCCACTATGACATATATATTACTACTGTAGTAAAAATAAAAACTAAAATCTGTATAATGCAATGGTGAACACAAGGCTGAATTGTGTTCTGGGCAAGGAACTTCTCAGAGCTTCAGTTTTCTTATCTGCAAAGGAGGGAGTGACAGTAGATAATGCTCACAGGTCCTTCTCCTTCTAAAATTCTAAATCCATTTACTCAGTAAAAAGGATCAACTAATCCCTTGCACAACCTGCAAAGATGCTATTCCTCCCTCCCATAACAAATTTTCAAGTGTCTCCTGAATCTTTCAGAATAACATGAAAGCTGTATACCTATTGTGGAATTTGATTAGAATCCGGAACAGTCAGAGTTGGAACAATGTTCACAACAAAATGCAAGTTAATAATGAAGGAAAAATAAAATCAGTCAAATCAGCCTAATGCTTTGGGAAAAATCTAAATTCAGTTAATTCTACCACAAACAACATGTAACCTGCTTATGACTGGCAACGCTGAAGGAGGATTCAAAGGCTCTCATCTCGCGCTGCTTGCCTGACCTCTTGCTTTCTAGGAGCTGACTTACCCTGTCAGATGCATACACGGCATCGAATAGCCCAAGGAGGGTGACGGAGATGCCCACAGCTGGACCATTGACCACTGCAATCAGAGGCTTAGGAAAATCTATAAAACAGCCCACAAATTCCCTACAGAAATGGAAACACAAAATCATTAAATGTGCCAAAGCAGCATGACTAAAGCATGGGCAAGACAGTCTGACTCTGAGATAAAGCCTTCTGTCAGGCTGGGTGTTTCCACAGCCACCACCAGCAGTGCCTCCTTGTCCTGCCACTTCCCTGGTCTTCCGCACCAGATTCATCCAGGGCATCCGTCTGAATGGCAGTGGATGGAAGACCAACCAGTGAGACCTATGGGTCAACCCTGGTTTGAATCTTGTATTCTGGACAGTGAGTTCAGGGCTGTAAACCAGCCGCAGTCTTAGAGATTAGGTTGGGTGACTGAGCACATGCTGCAATATCACAACAAGTGGGAATTACAGATTTGGCAGGAATAAAGAGAAAAGCCTTCATGACCTCCTCCTGTGTTTACAAGACTCCTCCGAGTCTCCTACCTTCAGCGTTCATGGAAATCTCCCATTCCTCTGGCTGGATGAGAATTTGCTAAATTCCTCTGCCTCAGTGCAAGATAATTTTGTTTACAACTATAGCTCACTTTTATGTTTTCCAGTCAAATCTCATGAGACCAGCAGGATGAACAGGTAACAGAGGTCAAAGAGAAAGAATGAATGCCCACCTATGGATGGAGGCAGTTTAGAGAAATATGCTTGTCCAAAGTCACAATTAACTGCACTGACACAGAGAAGCAGATATTGCACTTTTGCTCAACTAAATACCACTTTGATGACTAAGAACGGGCCCTCTGGGATCAGACAAAGGTCAGTAACTCTTACCTCAGTAAAACGGCATTATTTTTAGCTTTCTCCTCTACTCCACCAGGGGGAATATCAGTGAAGTTAGTCAGATCATTCCCACTACTGTAATAGTCACCATTTCCTATAAGTAAGAAAATCAACAGATCCCTCATTCAATCATCCTATAATTCTTGAGTATCTACTGCATGCCAAACTCTATGGTTAGGCAAGGGAAATACATTGGAGAACGAGCAATGGTTCCTGCCCTAACTTACAAACTAGTGAGTACGCTGGACACTGATCTATAAAAACACACCGATAAATGTAGCTAATGCTACTGTTGAAATAGAGGAGTGGTGCGTCATGAAATGAGGGTATGTACCAGGAGGGTTGGTCTAATCAGGGAGTTCAGGAAAGAACTTTCCTAAGGAAGCGACAACTGAATTGAGATCTGAAGGAGAGGCCAGGTGGGCTAGAAAAAGAGGGCTGGGAAGAACAGTTTACACAAAGGAACAGCCTGTGCAAAGGCTCTTTGGAGAGGTTATCCCCACTGTAGATGAAGTAAGAGCCACTGTAGCTGACTCAGGGAAAGCCAGGGGGAAGTCGGTGCAGGATGAGGACTGGCAGAATAGACCTGACAGTGCTTTGTAGATCCCATGAGGAAGTTTTTTCTTTATTCTAAGAGCCACTGAAAGTATGTTTCTGAGTGTGTGTGTTTAATTAAAGTACAATTTATATACAATAAAACAACCAGTTTTTAAATGTTCATTTAGATGAGTTTTAATAATTTTAAATACCCACAAGATCACCATCCAAAACAAGATACAGAACATCTCCATCACCCCAAAAGTTTCCCGTAGGCTCCTTCCTAGCTATCCCACCCCACCTGCTCCAAGGCAATCACTTTCTGACTTCAATTTCCACAGAGAAGAACTTTTGTCTACTGTAGAACTTTCTACAAATGGACTCATACAGTATGTACACTCCTGTCTTTATTTTGCTGAACTGTGTTTTAAAGATGCATCCACATTCTTGTGTATATCATTTATTCCATTTTATAGCTGAGTATTCCATTGTACAAATAGTCAACAATTTGTTTATTCATCCATGTGTTTTTGAACATTTGTTTTCTGGTTTTGGCCGTTATAAATCAGGTTACCATGTCTGCTCCTGTAAAAGTCTTTTGGTGGACATATGTGTCTTAATTGATGTTGGGTAATTGCGAAGGAGTGGGTATCTGTGTTTTTTTAAACATTTTTTGTATATTTATAAATCAGAGTATGACAGTACTGGAAAAGATCTTAGAGCCTTTTTTTTTTTTTTTTTTTTTTTTTTTTGAGACAGAGTCTCACTCTGTTACCCAAGCTGGAGTGCAGTGGCGCGACCTCGGGTCACTGCAAACTTTGCCTTCCAGGTTCAAGTGATTCTCCTGCCTCAGCCTCCTGAGTAGCTGGGATTACAGGTGTGTGCCACCATGCCCGGCTAATTTTTATATTTTTAGCAGAGATGGGGTTTCACCATGTTAATCAGGCTCATCTCAAACTCCTGACCTCGGGAGCCACCTGCCTCGGCCTCCAGGTCTTAGAGCTTTTTAACTCAATTTCCTATCTATTAAGAGGCCCCTCAAAATAGAAATTTAATTAGGATGCCTGAGAAAATGTCTTACCTGTTAAAACAGTGATGATTGAGTCATCCTTGCTGGCAGCTTTAAGTGCACGCATAATTTCATGATACATCTGTGTAATGGGAAGACAAGGAAAAGAAAAGAACTCTGAACACAGGAATCATCAATCAATGGACTCAACAAATGTCAGGCTGCAAGCTTGCTCTCAGCAAAGTGCCTAACATTTATTTTGGTTGTATTTTATAACCAAAAAGGTGGACCAACATAACTGAAGGAATTTTTATTCCTTTCACAGTTACCTGGTGCATATTATGTACCTGGTGCTATGGCAGGAGCTGCAGGCTATAAACCACTTTTTTTCCAAAAGGGACCAAGAAAGAAATAGTCCTTGAGCTTTTGGAATTAACAGAGGACTTAACATGTTCAATTTGGAATTAACATGTTCAAATGAGGAGGGGGTTGGAAAGTACAAAGTAGCAGGGAACTCAGAGGAGGTGCTGAGGCTTATCTAGTGTGGGCAGAGTGGGAGGTGGTCAGAGAAAACTTTCTACAAAGCAACGTCTCTGTTGTGACCTCAAGGAAGCCCCTGGCAGTCTGGGAAGTGTTAGTGACTGCCAAAAGGCTGGAATTTTCAAGACACTGTAATGGTATTCAAGGAAGGTGGCTCAAAATTTTAAATCAGCAACATTTCTGAAAATCTTGGACAAGCAGCTATATAGCTTTTAATGCATTTAAAACAGGTGCAATTTCAACCTTAGATGAGATTTCAGTGTGGGAAAGAAATGAGGAAGAGGGCTGATACTTATAGATACAAATATACTGGAAAAGACACATGGACTTTACATAAAACAGCCTGCCCTCCGTATCCACGGGTTCCACATCCATGGACAACCAATCACAGATCAAAAATACCTGGAAAAGAATTCTGTATCTATACTGAACATGTACAGGCTTTTTCTCTTATCATTAGTCCCTAAACAATACAGTATAACAACAATTTAATATAGCATTTACATTGTATTCAGTATTATAATAACTCTAGAGATGATTTAAAGTATATGGGAGTGTATATAGAGGTTATATGCAAATATTATGCCTTTTTATGGGGGACTTCAGGTTCCGCGGATTTTGTTGTCCACACGGAGGTCCTGGAACCAATCCCCATCGGATACCAAGGGATGACTGTACATGAATAAGCGTTTAAGCATTTCTCCTGAGGGAAGTGATAAGGAACTCATTCTATCATTATTATAGTTATGATAACACCACACAGCAGGGCGACTGGTGAGACCAGGATTAGGAGATGGATTATCAGGGTTCCTTCCTTCCAACTGGTGAGACCAGGATTAAGAGATGGATTATCAGGGTTTCTCCCTCCCTCCCTCCCTTCCTCCCTTCCTTCCTTCCTTCTTTTTTGAGATGGAGTCTCATTGCGAGGCCCAGGCTAGAGTGCAATAGCATGATCTTGGCTCAACCTCCACCTCCCCGGTTCAAAAGATTCTCCTGCCCCAGCCTCCTGAGTAGCTGGGACTATAGGTGCGCACCACCATGCCCAGCTAATTTTTTGTATCTTTAGTAGAGATGGAGTTTCACCATGTTGGCCAGGCTGGTCTTGAACTCCTGACCTCAAGTGATCTGCCCACCTTGGCCTCCCAAAGTGCTGGGATTACAGGGGTGAGCCACCACGACTGGCTATCAGGGTTTCAATTTAGGTTTTGCTGCTTATTTGTTATGTGAACTTGAGTAAGTTACTTCTTAATCTAATTATTTTATTGTTAAGTAATGATAACAGTAGGCTCCCTGTGAGAATTAAATAAACTTCTGTGTGGAGAGTGCTGGCACTCATTAGACACTCTGTACAGAGTAGCTATTATTATTATAGTTGTAGAGAAATGAGTCAGGGGAAAGTGGAAATAAAGTTTGAGCATTAAATGCTTTATTAGTTGAATGACACATATCCTACTTCATGAAATTCTGAAGATGATTTTAAAGTGAGTATGCTCTTTCTGCCACAATGGAGGTTATTGACCCAATGGTCATAGTCCTCTGAAATTTTAGTCCCAGTTGAGCACCAAGCATCCAATTAATTCCCTATAATTTTTTTCAAGAAGAAGGGGCTAAGGTAGTTATTTTATTATCATTCTAGTTCAGTGAGAGATTCAAAGACTAACGTTACCGAGTGAAGCAGCTACTTTAAAGCGGAGCTGGGTGATAATTTGTTTAAGATGAAGTCCTTCTCTCCTTTCTCCCTATACTTATAAAAAATGAAGCCCCCGTGCAAGCAGAAAGACTTACTTTCATGTCTAAGTGACATGAAGATACTTCTGGGAGCAGTCTACACCAACCTTAGATGGCTTCTATGCAAATTCTCTCATAGCAACATGTTTCATTTATATTCATTTATTTCTGCTTCCATTATTAGGAAAATCACAGTGCCTTCTGGGTATATCAGAACCTACCTGAAATTCACAAACTCTAAACAATGAATGCTCAACTCTGTTGTATGAAGTAGCCACAATTACCAACCTTCCTGCACAAATCAAACAAGAGATATCTTAAAATAGGAATGATGCTGAAACTCTACAGCTTTTGTGTGAAACACATAGAAGAAGAAAGTAAAACAGGACAAACTCCGTGGGCAGGTAACATTACCTCAGTGTTTATGGCATTTTTCTTTTTGGGCCGGTTGAACATGATCTTTGTGATGCCATCTTCGGAGGTCACCACCAGAGTTTCAAACCCAGTTGATTTCCTGTCTGTTCCAGGCTCCACCTGACTAGAGGATTCCAATGAAGGACTCAAACTGGACACCAAATCCACATAGTTCTGCCTGGCAGCTTCCTGAACGGACGATGACAAACAACCTCAGCCCATGGTCAATGAATAAGCACTTTGAGAAAGTTACTATACTAATAACTAACACCTTGCAATGAAGAAAGAATAGAAGCACATCAAGATCTTGAAGACTCCATTTACAATGGCTTAATGAGAAGCACAAACTTCTTTAGAAGTACAGCAAATAAAAGCACAGTAACTAGTAAACTCACCTTGGGCAGGCTGCCAAGGGCATTCCATGCGTCCCATTTGGCCTTGTTGATCAAGTCAAATACACCTGGTTTGGGCATGTTACAAGGTCCTTCAGTGGCCTGTGAAAAGGAGAGGGGCAATATGTTCAAATGTCCATGTAAACTAGACCCCTAAATATTTAAGATCCATAAAATCTGTAAGTACATGAATGCCTCCCCCAAATCCTTTCACAGGGTATGTAAATTGATCTGAATTTTCCCCTCCAGTCTCTTTGATGTTGTTGCCAAAAATGCACAAACAGAAAAAAGACTGGAAATAAATTATAACTGCCTGTCTATGAAAATAATGCAGGATAAAGGTTTTGGGGAAGTATTTTCTAAAAAAATCTAATGGTTCATTAGTTTTATATTGGTAATCACATTTTCCACAAACAATCAAAATATTCAAGCAAACAATCTTTACAAGGAACTAGTCAACAAATACTTGAAAACCCACAGCATATTCCAAAAGCCCATCTGAAGGTACAAAAAAAAACACCACTAATTCAGTGGTGGACTTTTGGTACCTGGGTAACAAAACTGTAGCTGAGGGGCTAGGGTGGGGCTATCAGAGCTACTGGTTCTTAGGAAACCTAACTGAAGAACATGTAAGTAAAAAGCAAAAAGGAATTAAATTTTATTTTTGAGGCTAGGTGGAGTGGGTGTTTTGAGATGAATAAAATATCCCACTCAGCTACTTTTCAGAAATAGCAATTTAAAATTCCAGTTAAAATTTTTAAAATTTTATAATACAGTTAGAGAGGAAAGAAGAAAGAGTCTTTGAAAAACAAGCCAGGTGTGGTGGCTCACACCTGTAATCTCAGCACTTTGGGAGGCTGAGGTGGGTGGATCACCTGAGGTCAGGAGTTCGAGACCAGCCTGACCAATATGGTAAAACCCCATCTCTACTAAAAATACAAAAATTAGCCAGGCATGGTGGCAGGTTCCTGTAATTCCAGCTGCTTGGGAGGCTGAGGCAGAAGGATTGCCTGAACCTGGGAGGCAGAGGTTGCAGTGAGCTGAGATGGTGCCGCTGCACTCTACCCTGCGTGACAGAGCAAAACTCTGTCTCAAAAAAACAAAATAAAAACAAAAGAAAAAAGAAAAAAGAAAAAGGCAGTAAAGGAGGTTATGAATTTCTTTAGACAGAGATAGTGTCATCTGGCAAGAGTTGGCCAACCTAGAAGTTAGAGGGAACACAGTCCACAGGATAAGGGCTTGCCTTTGTCTCCTGACTGTCCTCAATGCTAACACCAATTGCAAGGCTGGAGGGCACCCAGGACCACCCTCAAGTGCAACAATTTGCTAGAAAGACACCCAGAACTCACTGCAAGCTGTTAAACGCACAATTAATAGTTTATTAAGGGAAAGGATAGAGATTAGAATCATCCAAGGGAGGACACACACAGGATGGAGTCTGGGGCAGTAGCAAATGTGGAGTTTCCATTGTCCTTTCCCCATGGAGTCAGCATAGGGCACCTCTACCAGAATTGATGTGACAGTACACAGGGAGTCCTGCCAACCAGAGATGCTCAGCTCATCCAGTCTCGGTGTCCAGAGTTTTTAACAGGGCTCCATCACCTGTGCATGACTGTATAACCTGAAGCCCCCACCCTAAATCACATCGTTAAGACAATCCAGGCAAATAAAGACTCCTACCAGTCATTAGAGATTCACTTCCCAGAAGCTGAGGGCAAAGCCACACCTCTTCTGGGGCAAGGTTAAATTTTTTACTATACACACCCATATGAAAGAGAAGCTCATACCCATCATAGGACAGAAAAATAGATAACACAGGAGCCCAGAGAGGCAGACATGCCAGGGAAGTCTTTGGCATTGAAACTTAAGAGCTTTAGTTTTTAAATTTTGTTATAAAAATTTCCAAACATACCAAAGTAGAATACTATAATGAATTCCCAATACCCATCATCCAGGTTCAACAATTATCAAACTGCCTTACTTGCTTCATCTCTCTCTCTCTTTATTTTCTTTCGTTTTTGGACAGAGTCTCGCTCTGTCACTCAGGCTGGAGTGCAGTGGCGCAATCTTGGCTCATTGCAACCTGCACCTCACAGGTTCAAACGATTCTCCTGCCTCAGCTTCCCAAGTAGCTGGGATTACAGGTGTGCGCCACCAGTCCAGCTCATTTTTGAGTTTTTAGTAGAGATGAGGTTTCACCATGTTGGCCAGGCTGGTCTCAAACTCCTGACCTTAAGGGATCTGCCCGCCTCAGCCTCCCAAAGTGCTGGGATTACAGGCGTGAGCCACCATGCCTGGCCTCATCTATCCTTTTCTTTTTGTGCTTAGAGAACTTCAACTATCCATGCTATTTCACCCCTATATCCTTAGTACACTTTTCTTAAAAATATCAACATTTTCTTATATAACCTTGACACCATTAACGATGATTTCTAGGTATCTTCTAACACTCTGTCCTTACTCAAAACTTCCCCAATTGTCTTAAAAATACCTTTTTCAGTTGATTTATTCTAATCAAGAGCTAAGTAAGGTCTACAAATGTGAATATTATATCTCGTAAGTCTCTTTTACTCGTGTGACACTGAGGCACTTTGTGCCTTAATAGTATTTCAAGGTCTAATATAAAAAACTGGCATATATATATATACACACACACACTCTTCAGAGAAGAGGGAGCAAGACAAACCAAAATGTTAAGGCCACATTTTAGTAAACACACAGTGTATTTATTTAAGAAGTCATTTGCCCAAAATTCTTTAAATAACGTTCGACCGTAGGCATTTACCTGCTTATATAGCGCGTAGAGTTTTAGCTTCACTTCGTTTCCTGGATCCTTTTTCAAGAGTTTCACTTGATTCATTGAATTTTCAAAGTCCTTCTGACTGGCTCTCATTGCTGTTCTATTCATGTGCAGCTGAACTACCGGGAAACTAGTGACCTGCAGAGAACTACAATTAGGCAGACTGATTTCTATTTGTTCCCAACCCTCACATTTCTGCAGCCTGATTTCTAATTGTTCCCAGCCTATACATAACAAAATGCCATGTTTGTCTATAGATATTTTCTTTATACTTGCCTCAGCAAACTGGCTGCAAATAATTGGCTGTAAGGATTCCAAGATAATAAGTCAATACAGAAGCTAACAGTAGTAACTTTAAATAAAAGGAAAAGTAACCATCCAGGGAGGTATCTGTAAGCAACTAAAGATAAAAGCAGCCAGAACAGGAATGACCATGTAAATTTTGCCAAAGGCAAGAAGTGAAGTGCATGCAAGACAGTGGACAGCAGGAAACCAAAAGGCTAAAGTGCACAGAATTTAGTGAAGTGTCCCAAAGTCCTGAAACAGCCTCTGCACTCACTGATAAGCCATAAGCTATATCAGGTCAATTCTTGCCTCTTTGCTGGCGAAGCTGGTGTTCCAACATACACACAGGTGGAAGGAGGGGAGAATGGATGTGAACATACAAGAAATATTCAAAAGAACACACGAGCAGTTGCTGGCATTCCAGATAGAGCCACAGCCTTCTCAGCAGATGGGAGGGAATCTACCTGCAGTGGAAGGGAGTCAGTGAAGGGGGCTCAGCAGGCGTGCCCCTTTCTATGGGTATGTTTAACCAGCCAGCCAGGAACAGAGCAGAAACAGCAACCACCGCGGGGGTGATCAGCACGTTTTTAAGCACACATAGTGAGCGGGGGTGGGGTGGCAAACTTGAATGCACAGGACTCAGGCCACAAGCTAAAAATGGAGTTCACGACGATGACACTGAATAATAGAGTTAATGGCAAAAAAGATGATTAAAATAATACAGGTTACAAAGCCCAAACCTAACACACAAACACAATTATGTAACTCGAAAATGGTGCAATGAACTCTAGGTTCAAACTTTGGACTATTAGTAACTGATTCAGTAAGATCAGCCTAGAGTAAGTTTTACATTAAAATGATTTTCTGTAAAGGGAAAAACTGCATCTTATATGGCAAATTCCACGTAGAAAACGAAAGAAAAATTTAAAATATCCACAGAAAGCCGAAATGTACAAGTTTCCACAAAATGTGGAACAAATTTATTTTTAAATAAAGCGTGAGTTTTAAAAACAAATAGCAAAAACACGACCATTTAAGAAAATACATAAAGTCGGGAAAATCACTCATAATTCTACCACTTCAAGGCCACCACCGTGTTTCGGTTTTGTTCCCTATGCACAGATTCGTGCGGGTTCCCGGGACCCCAGGGAGGTGCAGCGTGCTTCTTAGCCGTTACTCTGTACCCGGCCATTTCACTTTATAGCATACGTGTTCTCCAAGAAGCAGAGTGTTAAGTCCACACGAGTGATAACGGCTTGCGTTTACCTCGCTTTTAGCAAGCGACGCTTTGCACCCCAGAAGCAGCCCGGCTGGGAAGTGCAGGCCCGGGTGCTCAGCTGGGGCGGCTCACCCGCCCGGAGTCCGGCCCCAGGAGGATGGGAGCGTGCGCGGAGGCAGGCGGAGACCTTGGGGACTGCTGACAGGGAACCATAGCCCTGACCTCCCGACGCGCCCATCCTGACCACTCCGGGCCCAGCGGTGCAGGAGGGCGCGCGTGAGGTCGTCACTTTTTAGCACTACCTCACCGGAAAACCAGCAAAGCAAAATCCTGTTGCCACCTAGACAATAGGGAAGGAGGGTCTTCCAACGGCGGCGACCTTCGCCTGGACAGCGGTATCCTGCGGGCGACCATGGGCCGAACGGCCGGGACTCCAAGCTTACCTCGGACACGAACGCCGCGCCAGTCTCCAAGCCAAGTACGCCATCGCCATCCCTTGGGCGGCTCTAGGGCTGCGGGGGCTCGGGGGTGGGGCCGGGTCTCGGGGGCGGGGCCTAGCTCGGTCTGCGGGGGCTCGGGGGTGGGGCCGGGTCTCGGGGGTGGAGCCGGGACTCGGGGGCGGGGCCTAGGCTCCCGGGCTGCGGGGGCTCGGGGGTGGGGCCGGGGCTTGGGTGCGGGGCGGGGCCGAGAGCAGAGCCCAGGCAGGAGCCTGGGGCATGGGCGGGGCCAGGGTTGGGGCGGGGCCAGGCTGAGAGCGTAGCCACGCCGCATTCGCCATCGCTAGCCCGTGGCCTCCTCTGGGGCTGCGGGGGCTCGGGGGTGGGGCCGGGGGGGTCGGTGCGTGGGCGGGGCGGGAGCTCTAGGCGGTTAGGAGTCGGGGCTCAGATGCGGGGGCGGGGCCGGAGCGAGGCCGGGTATCACCCGGGAGTGGAGGAAGTGCGGGGGGTTCGCGGCGCGGGGAGGGTGATCCCGGGAGGACTTGCGCGGCGCGTGGGGCGGGGCACAGATGCTCCCCGGCCTGGCTCCGAGTAACTGCGAGCTGGAGGCGCGGCTGCTCTCTCGGGCGGACCTCAGCTCTGCGAACCCTGTGGCTGCCGGAGCACTGAGCGCCCTGCCCGGAGTCCCGCGGAGCCTGGCGAGGAGGGGTCGCTGCATCCCGAGGGCCAGCCCTGAGCCGGGAGGTGGGGTAACAATTGAGGGCGTATGCTTAAAAGCTGCTAGGTCATGCATCCCCAAATCGAAGGTTTGCAGACCTGGTAGGACGCCTGGGGGTCAGAAGTGATTTTTGGAGTACCCAAGTTTTTAGTGTCAGTGAAGAGTTTGTGGATATTTTTGAGTTCTGCTGAGGCATTTGCAAAGTATTTTCTTTGGGGAAGAATTCTTAAGAGTTGGAAGGGCCTTGGCTGTGTCACCTTGTCCAGTTCCCAGAGAACCAAAAAACAAAACAGAACAAAACGAAACAAAACCACCCCTCTAAATTCTGTGCCCAAGTTGTCCCATCCAAGCATGCCTAGGAGTTTTAGATTTATGTAGCTGACACCTGTGGACTACCTATAGTGAGCCAGGCTAATTGTAAGTCTTTGGACAACCCTGTAAGGAAAATGATATTGCCCTGTTGAGCTGATGTGGAAATTGCCCTGTTGAGCATATTGCCCTGTTGAGCTGATGTGGAAACTGAGACCCAGAAAGATTAATCAGGTGAATTCCCCAAAGACAGGAGGCTTGCAGGTGGGCAGAGTCCAAGTCTCAAGTAACTTTATCATTAAGTTTCATCAGGTAGATCTGGGTAATAGTGTAGATGGGGCAACACCAAAAGTCAAATAGAACAATTTGGGCTTATCCCAAAGAGATTTTTTTTTTTTTGAGATGGAGTTTCCGTCTTGTTGCGTAGGCTGGAGTGCACTGGCACAATCTCGGCTCACTGCAACCTCCACCTCCTGGGTTCAAGTGATTCTCCTGTCTCGGGCTCCCGAGTAGCTGGGATTACAAGCATGCGCCACCAGGCCCGGCTAATTTTTTGTATTTAGTAGAGATGGGGTTTCACCTTGTTGGTCAGACTGGTCTCAAACTCCTGATTTCAGGTGATCCACCCGCTTCGGCCTCCCAGTGTTGGGATTACAGGTGTGAGCCACCACACCTGGCCTCTCCATATATTACAAAGTGGTAGTTGGTAGGCTGAGCTGCCTCTCTCAGAGACCTTGACTCTCTCCAAGGCTGTTAGATAACCTCAGAGGTAATGGAAATGCAGTAATCAGATATTGCAGATAATACAAGACTCATTCATTTCCAGAAGATGAAACAGCTGTCATGGAAATATTTTTTAAATCTCATACTGGTAAGCATATTTTGATAGTGAAACCTTTTGCAATGCAAGCAAACTACTCTCAGGCTTATACCTACCACAGAAAAGAGTGGGGTGTGGGAAATTAGCTTATCTTTTTCAAACTATAATTTTAAAAATATAGAAAGAGCATGTGTCAAAGATTTACTTAGCTCATTAATTAGGGAACCAACAGGGTGCTAAAGAAGAAGTTAAAAGACTAGTTTAATATAGTCAATGTTAAAAAAAGAATGCTGGAATAGATTGCAAAGTTAGAAACAAAACTGGTTAATATCCCATAGAGCAATAAAACCATAACCTCGGGAGGAATGTTTTTCCTATTGGAGAAATCATTTGCATATCTACCAGCTGTCATTTACTAAAGCCCCATTATATCCAGCATTTGAGAGAAAGGAGATGGTTAAAGAGACAGACATTCCTGGTTAAAGAGACAGACATTTAGATTCCTAGATCCTAAAGAGGGTCATCTTGGGTCCGTATTTGGTTTACTAAACTGTTAAGAGGTGTCCAGACCATGCCTTGTAAACATGGCTGCCATGGCCCTGTGGGTGGGAGGGCCAGTTGCAGCAAAAGGGAACCATTGTGATTTTGGTAGATTCTCCACCTGAGCTTGAAGATCATTGTATCTGTGCTAAGGAGTTTGGATTCCGTGCTGAGAGCAAGCAGAGAGCCATTGAAGATACAATTGGCATGCCCAGCTATCCAGTTCTCAGTGAAATCCTGGACTCCAGATATATCTTCAGGGTGTAATGGTTCTGGATAAGAGTAGGAAAGGCAGAAACTCAGTCAAGACCTCTCTAAAGCTCTAATCTTCACCCTGTTATATAACCAGCTTCCCCTGGAGCTTATGAAAATCTTGGGGAGGGGGTCCTCCAGTCTGGTTAGATCCTGTCTTATTGATTGCAGGGGACTGATGCTGCCTGGGAGGGCCGTTGATGTTCTTTGGGTTGAGAGAATCTCAGACTCTCTTAGCAGGTGCACAGGAAGTGTTGTCTCCGGCTATAATGAATCTTTGGGGTCAGCATATCGACTTCACAGTGTTGTGCTCAGTGGTAGTGTGAATGTTTCTTTTTTAAGATCATAGAATAGATTATATCAGAGTAGAATGTTACATGATGACTCTGTCAGTCATGATAATTTTTATTTCCAATATTTACATCATCAGATACTGTTGTTACAGCATGTACAGAGTCTGTCACATTCAGTCTTGAGGAACAATTCTGATACACTGTCCCAATTAACAGTGCAAGCTAGAAACCTGGAAGAGTCTTTGATTCCCTTACCTCACTGACACCTCACATCTATCATTCATCAAATACTAGTGATTCTGTCTCCTAAATATATTTTTTTAATTTTCCCCCTCATCTCACATCCCTCTGCATCGTCTTAATTCATGCTCTCATTGATTTTGAGATTACTGTTACCTGGATTCCTGTAGCAGCCACTTCCCAGTTTTGCTAATTCAGTTACCTCTGCAATCCATTCTCTCCCTGCTTCCAGGCTGGTCTCCCTAAATTTTAAATCTTACACTCCACACGATTCTCCCCGATCTCTCCCCTTGGCTGAAAATCTCTTAGTGAGTCCCCTTTGCCTGTTAAACAAACCCAAGCTGCTTAGCACTGGCAAATAAGGCCCACAAGATTTGCCCTTGCCTACCTTCTCAGGCACCTCTTTCCAGCCCCACATGTTAACTTCCCATTTCAGGTGAACTTGGGATGCTCAGTTTCTCTGAGTTTCCAGGTTCTCTCATTCCAGGCATTGGCATATCCAGGAATCTCCTCTGACCCACCCACTGGTTAGTCCTGTCCTGAGTTCCTACAGTCTCCTGGGCGTTTCTTTCTTCTGGCCCCTATGTCACTGTGTTTTATATCTGATTAGTAATCTATTTTATTACAAGGGGCATATCCTGGGAAGAATTCTACCCTGTATTCAACCCCTTTCTCATTTCTGGACACACTGCTTGACAGAAAATACTGTACTCTGTGAAGGTTTGTTGGATGATGGATGAGCTGTTGAAAGTTTCCTTCTAGAGCGTGCTTTTCCACATTTGATAATAAGTTGTGAGTCAGTTGCTACCTTTTCATTAAGTTGTCAGAAGGTGTTAACATGAGTGTTTTTGTGGTTTGAAATGTTGCTTTTTCAGTGAGTGGTAGCTAAAGGCAGAGGACTTTGACTGTTGCCAAGTTCCTGTGCCGAAATGAACTGGGGAGAGTGGTACGAAGGCAACTGTGGTGTTACTTAACTCTATAAATTTCTGGGTGAAAAATCTATTATAGCTTTTTCCATTAGTCATTAAAATGATTAGTCCACGTTCAACGTTCTGTATCATAATTGTTTCCTGCTTTAGCTGGATGACATTGCTTGAGATAAATTAAACCTGTGGCATTATTATGTCTCCTTTACAAAATTAATCCTCTTTTCTTCTTCCTAGCTAGGCTTTGTATTGCCTTCCTACACAATCTTATATGTCAGAGATATTAAAAATAGTATGCTGGAATATTACCTGCTTTGGGGTGTTTTTCTTATTTCCCATCGTTATAATTTAGAGAAGAAAGTCATTTCAAAAGTAAACATTTGGCTCATGTTATCACCTCTGTCTAAGTGCTTTACACCTGCGTGATTTGTTCATTCATCCAAGGCTCTTTTATCCACTCTTTCTGTATGTTGCACAAGCATTAACCTGACCTTGTATTTGAGGATACTTTTCAACTATCCTTCTGTAGCAAAAAAAAAAAAAAAAAATTATTTTTGGAGGACTCTCCCTCTGAAAATGATTGGAACTGATAGATACACTGTGTAAGAAATGGCTGCTTTTCTGAAGTCATTCCATTTTTTCTTGTTTACACCACAGCTTAAATTAATTTACCTGTCCTAATGAATACATAAGAACAAGAACAATACCTACAATTTAGTTAACCACAGAGAGCCACAAAGACAATTATATGTATTCAACACAATGTCATATAATTTACATGCATTTAAGGGCTGAGAAGAATGTTCAAGAATGGCATCCGTGGTTCGTAGGCAGGTGGTATCCTTATTGACTCAGCAAAGGTGCTCCTGCCTTCTCTGTTCTGCACAAGAAAGAAGTAAATTTAAAATTCCATCCATAAATCAGCAGCTTGACTTTAAATAAGATTAGAAAAACATAGTCAATCCTTATTTTTCGTAGTTTGTGTATTTGAGAGTTTGCCTACTTGCTAAAATTTATTTGTAAACTTTATTTTTATTTATTTATTTATTTATTTATTTTTTTGAGATGGAGTCTTGCTCTCTCTCCCAGGCTGGAGTGCGGTGGCATGATCTCAGCTCACTGTAGCCTCCACCTCCTGGGTTCAAGTGATTCTCTAGCTTCAGGGTTCAAGTGATTCTCTAGCCTCAGCCTCCAGAGTAGTTGACACTACAGGCATGCACCACCATGCCTGTCTAATTTTTTTGCATTTTTAGTAAAGACAGGGTTTCACCATGTTGGCCAGGCTGGTCTTGAATTCCTGACGTCAGGTGATCCACCTGCCTTGGCCTCCCAAAGTGCTGAAATTACAGGTGTGAGCCACTGCACCCGGCCTATTTGTAAACTTTAAATCAATACTCATGGGGCATTTGCAACATGTCTGGAGTGTTGGAAAATTTGATTTGCCCGAAGCACATATTCACAGCTGAGGTCAAACAAGGTGACCTTCTGCCTTCTTATTTCAACTGTCATACTGTAAATAAATGTCCTTATGGGGTTTACTTAATGCTACATATTTTCATATTTTTGTGCTTTTTTTGGTGATTTGCTGTTTAAAATGGCCTGCAAGCATAATGCTGAATTGCTATCTAGTGTAAAAGCAATAAGGCTGTGATGTGCCTCATGGAGAAAATGTGAGCTAGACTTCCTTCAGGCCTGAGTTTATAATGCTGTTAGCAAATTCAGTATTATTGAATCAACTATATACATATATATGTACTTTAAATGATGTGTCTTTCCATAGAAACACATCGGATAAGCTTATGATGAAAATGTAACCAGAGACTCAAAGGAACCTAATCCTGGATTACCTCTAGAAACAATGGTTCACTATTGACTTATTCAGTGTTTGCTATGACTTTAGAAAATCTAATTATCATGAATAATGAGAATTAACTGTATATGCAGCTGTCTTAGGTTAGAGTCTCCCAGAAGCAGACCCCAAGAGAGGAGTTTATTTGGGGAATGATTCCAGGAAACCTTGGTGTAGGAGTAGAGAATTAAAAGAGACAAGGAAAGGCAGGCAATAAAGGGTAAAATCATTAAGCAAGTTACCTCTGTGGACAACTGACACTCAATTCTACTATAGTAGCCTGGGTGCCAGTGAAGAGCATGTGCCTCAGGTGTCCTTCCTGAAGGGAGAGAAAGGTAAGATATTTCTAAGTATTTGGGGATTTTTTTTTTTTTTTTTTTTTTTAATGAGACAGAATCTCACACTGGCCCCAGGCTGGAGTGCAGTGGTGCGATCTCAGCTCACCACAGCCTCCTCCTCCTGGGTTCAAGGCATTCTCCTACCTCAGCCTCCCAAGTAGCTGGGACTACAGGCGCCCACCACCATGCCTAGCTAATTTTTTGTATTTTTAGTAGAGACAGGGTTTCACTGTGTTAGCCAGGCTGGTCTCAAACTCCTAATCTCATGATCCTCCCACCTTGGCCTCCCAAAGTGCTGGGATTACAGGCATGAGCCACTGTGTCCCGCTGTATTTGGGGATTTTTCGTGATCTTTCTCTTATCTCTAGTTTAATTCCACTGTACTCCAAGAACATTCTTTGTATGAATTCAATTCTTTTACATTTGTTAGTTTTATATCCAGTAGTATGTGGCCTATCGCGGTGAACATTCCATGTGTTGTCAAAAGAATATGCATCCTATCATTCATTGTCACTTACTGACTTTGTGTCTCCTTGTTCCATAAATTACTGAGAGAGGAATGTTGATGTCGCCATATGTAATTGTAAATGTGACTATTTCTCTATTCAGTTCAATCAGTTTTTGCTTCATGCATTTTGGAGTTCTGTTGTTAGGTGGATACAAACTGATGACTGTATGTCTTCTTGATGAATTGACCTTTATTATTTTGTACTGTCCCTTTTTATCCCTGGTAAGTAATTTTCCTTTATATGAAGTCTATTTTTTATATTAATGTAGACAACACAGCTTTCTTTTGATTAGTGTTTGCATGGTTTATCTGTTTTTATTCTTTGACTTTTAATATATGTGTATCATTATATTTAAAGTGGGTTTCTTGTAGACAACATATAGTTGTTTGTTTTTTTAAAAATCCAATCTGACAATCTTTGTTTTTTAAATGATATATTTAGACCATTTACATTTGATGTGATTATTGATATAATTAGATGTAGACCTCCTATTTTGTTATTTTTCTGTTTGTTTTTGCTTTTCTCTTCTCCCTCCTTACCATCTTCGAATTATTTTTAGTATTCCATTTTAACTTATCCATTAGGATGATTTGTTTGTTTGTTTGTTTGTTTTGTTTTGGCTTTATGTCTGTATTAGTCCATTCTCACACTGCTATAAAGAACTACCTGAACTGTAATCCCAGCACTGTGGGAGGCTGAGGCAGGTGGATCGCTTGAGCTCAGGAGTTTGAGACCAGCCTGGGCAATGTGGTGAAATCCCATCTCTACAAAAAATACAAAAAAATTAGCTAGACTTGGTGGCACATGCCTGTACTCCCAGCTACTCAGGATACTGAGGTGGAGGATTGCTTGGGCCCAGAAGGCAGAGGTTGAGCTGAGATTGTGGCACTGCATTCCAGCCTGGGAGACAGAGCAAGACTCTGTAAAACAAAACAAAACAAAACAACAACAAAAACCCCAAACCAACAATCTACCTGGGACTGGGGAATTTATAAAGAAAAGAGGTTTACTTGACTCATGGTTCTGCAGGTTGTAGAGGAAACATGGCTGGGTAGGCCTCGGGAAACTTACAGTTATGGCAGAAGGTTAAGGAGAAGTTGGCACATCTTCACATGGCAGAACAGGAGAGAGAGAATGAAGGGGGAAGCACTACACACTTTTAAACAACCAGATCTCATAAGAACTAATTCACTATCACAAGAACAGCAAGGTAAACATCTGCCCCCGTGATCCAATCACCTGCCACTAGGCCCCATCTTCAACACATGGGTATTACAGTTCAACATGAGATTTGGGTGGGGACACAGAGCCAAACCATATCAATCTCTTTATATATTTTTCCAGTGGTTGTTCCAAAGAATATATGTATATAATATTATGATAGTATATATATACACACATATACATGTATATGTGTGTATATATATACACATACTGTTAGTTTATCTGGATTTAATATTTAACAACTTCAAGTAAAATGTTGAAGACTGGCAACCATACAGGTTTCTTTACTCTCTCTCTTTATGTTATAGTTGTCGTCTGTATTACATTTGGATACATTGACACCCTCCCAAACAGTGTTACAATTTTTGCATTCAAACTTCATACATAGTTTCAATAACTTAAAAACGAAAAGTATTATATAACTAGGTATTTATCATTTCTACGGTTTTTTATTCATTCCTGAAGTTTCAAGTTTTCTTCTAGGAACATTTTTCTTCCACATTAGCTTCCTTTAGGAATTTTTCTTAGATATATTGGCAATGAATTCTCTTTGTTTTTCTTCATGTGAGAATATCCTTATTTTACATTCATTCCTGAAGGATATTTCCACTGCATATAGAATTCTGAGTTGACATTTTTTTTTTCTTTCAGCACTTTAAGGATTTTGCTCCCCTGCCTTTATGGTTTCTGATGAGGAATCATTAGCATTCACTAGTATCTGCAGTATTTGAGTTGTTGCTCTCCTATGCAAAATATATCGTTTTGCTATGGCTGCTTTCTAGATATTTATCTTTGGTTTTTGGCAGTTTAATTTTGATGTGTGTTAGCATGGTTTTCTTTGAGTTTATTTTGTTTGGTTTTTCTAGACTTCTTGAATCTATGAATTTATGTCTTTTGCGATATTTGAGGAATTTTTGTTCATTGTTTTGTCAAATATTTTGTCTGTCCTGATATCTTTCATCTCTTGTTCAGGGACTCCAGTGATATTGAGATTGTCCCACAGGTTCCGTGGCTATTTACCTACTTTTAATCCTTTTTCTCTTTGTTTTACAGGTAGGTAATTTTTACTGATCTATCTTTAAATTCACTGACATTATTCTCTCTCAATTCTGCTATTGAACCCACTTAGTGCATTTTTAAATTTCAGGTATTCTATTTTTCAATTCTCAAATTTCTATTTGGCTTTTTAAAATAGTTTCTCTTTCTCTGCTGACTACTCATGTCTTTCTTTTAAATTTGGAAGTGCTTACATTCACCTCATAGAGGAAGGTCATAATGACTGGTTTAAATTATTGACCCCATGCATTTGGTCTCTTGCACTTGACCCCTTGGTTTTTTATGCCCCCAGTGCACCTGCTTTGGGACTCCACTTGTCCATTGGACTTCCTCACCCTCACTGCTGTGGCCTGCAATTGACAATATCATGTCAAAGTCATGTCTTGAGTTTCCAGCTAGGCTAGGATCCTTGCTGATTCCTCTCCCCCAACAGTATCTTTGATCATGCTAGGCAAGCTGAATTAAATTGTAGTAAGTGCATTCATTGATAGAAAAATTGCAGAAAAATTGCGGGTTCAATCCAGCCAATGTAACACTTTATTATCATAATACAATGTGATTATTCTCTTGAATCAACTGTTTTCATTCTAAAGCATCTGTGGAATTTCATGGAGCAGAAATGTAGTGCACATTTCATACCTCCAAATGTTTTAAGCCAAATTATAATTGCAGACAGCCCTTATAAATCTAATTACATGCCTTACAGTGACTCCACAGGTACACAGGCCAGATGGAATTAATATATTACTGCTGCTATTAATCACGTGAGATTAAGACAAATAATATAACATGATTATATAAAATGATCTGCCATTTATCTGCTGTGATCACCTACTTCATTAAGGTATTGGCAGCATTTAGCAAGGCTGGTGTTGCAGTCTGTTTTTTTGCTATAAAAGAATACATGTAGCTGGTAGTTTATAAAGAAAAGAGGTTTATTTGGCTTATCGTTCTGCAGGCTATACAAGAAGAAGCATGGCACCAGCATCTGCTTCTGGTGAGCAGCTCAGGCTGCTTCCATTCCTGGTGGAAGGGAAAGGGGAGCTGACTTGTGCAGAGATCACTTCCAAGAGGGAAATCAAGAGAGAGAGGTAGGAGGTGCCAGGCTCTTTTTAACGTCCAGTTATCTTGGGAGCTAATAGAGTAAGAACTCACTGATACCTACTACCCCCATCCTCCATCTCTTCGTGAAGAGTCTGCCCCCATGATCCATACACCTCCCATTAGGCCCCCCCTTTAACACTGAGGATCACATTTCAACCTGAGATTTGGAGGGGCCAAACAAACCATATCCAAACTATAGAAGTGGCAAATTGACAACATCTACTTATTCGTTCAAAAGAAATAGGGTGAAAACATGAGATGATCCATGGATGTTTCAGCTTTTCTGTGACTGACCCTGCATACTGAAAAGCAATAAATTCCTTGCTAACTTAAATAAAGTAATGGCAGATATGCCTAAGGCCACAAATCTATTTAATGTAGTTGGAGTTAATTTGATTAATTGTGGATTTCTAGGCAGTAATCTCTTAAACTTTGTACTCAGCTTTATTAACTTTCAGAAGCTAAGATGAACTTTTCTGTTGCTGTCATACTTTCAGAAACTCATATTGAGTACCAATTGCTGATCTCAAACCCATTTTAAAATATTCCATTGCATTCTGGGTAATTTCATTTCTTGTCATTAATTTCACATTGAAATTTTTGGCTGTTGATTGCTGTGATAAAACCTTTCCCCATGAAACCTTCCTAGAAAAATTTTTACTTTATTTCATAAGTTATCAATGCTCAGAATTGAAATTCATTCTTTTATGTCTCCAAGAGGTGCTTATTGAGTGGTTACTATGTGCTAGGCCTGTCTTGGGCACTAAGGAGATGGGGGTGAACGAGATACATAAATGCTTTGCTTCTGTGGAGTTCACATTCCAGTGGAGGAAGGCAAAAGTAATAGGTGGACAAATGCATAAAATAATTTCAGGTATTAAATATTATATAGAAAATGGCCAGCTCATTTAAAACCTTATGGGTGTGTTCAGAGTTTAGATTTCATTCTAAGAACAAAGAAGTTACTGGGAATTTAAAGTGGAAAGTGTGAGCAGATTCACTATACACTGGTTATCAACTTATCACCCACCCGCACATCAGGTTACATGAAGTGGGTTTATTACTCACAGAAACGTAGCCAGGAACAACGGAAGCCTAAGGTCCATTGTAAGCTGGTCCCTCAAGGCTCAGGAAAGCTGCCCTGGGCAGATGGAGTCTTGTCTGTACATCCTCTTGCACTGCAGGTGAGGGATCCCAGAAAGCAACCCACTCTATGTTTTACACTCCGGGGTCCTGGGGGGTCCCCTGGGCCAAAGCACCGAAGGACATCCTGTTTCTGGAGGGAAATGGAATAAAGCCCAGGCTGTTGTGACCAGCCTCTGCCTATCTCAGGACACTGCATTCCCAGCACATTTTATACTTATTCTTGAAAACTACAAATGAGAAAGGGAGAAGAACTGGGTTGATTCAAGGTCACCTGGATAACTGTCTGCAGAAAGATGTCTTTAAAAGTCCAAAATGGCTGCAATATTGTAAAATGGATTAAGGCAAGAAAGAGTAATTAAAGGTGATAAATGTTCAGGTAGAAGGTGAACTTGAATCAAGGTGGGAGGAGTGAAGATGAAGAGAAAGAAGGGTTCTCTGTAAACTGTAGAATATGCTTTTAGATCACTAGAAATACTGCCTACACACAATGATATATACTTTCTTTTTCTTACTATAAATATAACTATTATTTGTTTCATATATTTTTGTGTTGGCTACAATTTCCAAAATATAAATTAGTAATGGTTATAGAGGATATCCTCTAGGGTTTTAAATGTGATGTTGGTTTTTGGTTTGGGAGAGAGAGCCTTTTCATATTAATGCATTGTTACTCTGGTTCTAATTTTTGATCAGTTTTCAACAGGAATGGATGATGGATTTTATTGAATACTTTCTTGGTGTTAATGAAAAAATTCTATTTTTTACTGATGGCTTGCATAAAACTAATATATTTCTCAATATTAAACCATTCTATTCCTGTTTCTATAAATTTGACTTTTTTAGGTATCTTATATAAGTAGAATCATACAGCATTTGTCTTTTTGTGACTGGCTTATTTCACTTAGCATGTCTTCAAGGTTCATTTATATCATAGTATGTGTCGGAATTTCAATCCTTCTTAAGGCTAGGTAATGTTTGGTTATATATACATATATATATATATATGTAAATATATACACACCACATTTTGTTTATCTGTTCATCTGCTGATGGACACTTGGGTTGCTTCCACATTTTGACTAGTGTGAAAAATGCTGCTATGAATGTAGGTGTACAACTCTGACTCCTAGTTTTCAATTTTGGGAGGTATATACTCAAAAGTGGAGTTGCTGAATTATATGGTAACTCTATTTTTAATTTTTTGAAGACCTGCCATAATATTTTCCTTAGTTGCTACACCATTCCTACCAACAGTGCACAAAAGGTCTAATTTCTCCACAAACTTGCCAATCGTTATTTTTATTTATTTATTTATTTGAGATGGAGTCTCGCTCTGTCACCCAGGCTGGAGTGCAGTGGCATGATCTCAGCTCACTGCAATCTCCGCCTCCCTAGTTCAAGCGATTCTCCTGCCTCAGCCTCCCAAGTAGCTGGGACTACAGGCGTGTGCTACCACGCCCGGCTAATTTTTTGTATTTTTAGTAGACATTGGGTTTTCCCATGTTAGCCAGGATGGTCTCGATCTCCTGACCTCGTGATTCGCCCATCTTGGCCTCCCAGAGTACTGGGATTACAGGCCTGAGTCACTGTGCCCGGCAATCCAATACTTTTTTTTTTAATTATTTTTTATTTTTCTGGGTGCATAGTAGGTGTATATATTTATGGGGTATATGAGACATTTTGATACAGGCATGCAAAGTGAAATAATCACATCATGGGGAATGGGGTATTCAGCCCTTCAAGCATTTACCCTTTATGCTATAAACAATCCAGTTATACCCCTAGTTATTTTAAAATGTACAGTTAAGTGATTGTTGACTATAGTCACTCTGTTGTGCTGTCAATAGTAGGTCTTATTCATTCTTTCTAACTACTTTTTTTTTGTACCCAGTAACCATCCCCACCTCCCTGTCAGCCCCCTACTACCCTTCCCAGCCTCTGGTAACCATCCTTCTACTCTCTATATCTATGAGTTCAGTTGTTTTGATTTTTAGCTCCCACAAATAAGTGAGAACATGCGGTGTTTGTCTTTCTGTGCATGGCTTATTTTACCTAACATAATGATCTCCATTTTATTAAAAATGAGCTCACTGTAGATGAGTGGATTTGTTTCTGGGGTCTCTATTCTGTTCCATTGGTCTGTGTCTCTGTTTTTGTGTCAGTACTGTGCTGTTTTGGTTACTATAGCTCTGTAGTATAATTTAAGGTCAGGTAATGTGATTCCTCCAGTTTTGTTCTTTTTTCTCAGCATAGCTTTGGCTATTCTTTTTTCTCAGGATAACTTTGGCTTTTGTGGTTCCATATACATTTTAGGATTGTTTTTTCTATTTCTGTAAAGAATGTTATTGGTATTTTGATAGGCATTACATGGGATCCGTAGATGGCTTTGGTAGTATGGACATTTTAACAATATTGATTCTTCCAGTCCATGAACATGGAATATCTTGTCATTTTTTGGTGCCTTTTTCAGTTTCTTTCATCAGTGTTTTATGATTTTTATTGTAGAGATCTTTTACTTCTTTTGTTAATTCCTAGGTATTTGCTTTTATTTGTGGCTATTGTAAATGGCATTACTTTTAAAATTTTCACTTTGTTCATAGTGGGGATATAGATATGGTACTGATTTTTGTATGTCGATTTTATATCCTGCAACTTTGTTGAATTTGTTTATCAGTTCTAATAGTTTTTTTGTGTGTGTAGTCTTTAGGATTTTCCAAATGCAAAATCATATCACCTGCAAACATGGATAATTTGACTTCTTCCATTCCAGTTTGCACGCCTCTTCTTTCTCTTGTCTGATTGGTCTAACTAGGACTTCCAGTACTATGTCGAATAACAGTGATGAAAGTGGGCATCCTTGTCATGTTCCAGATCTTAGAGGAAAGGCTTTTATTTTTTCTCTCATTCAGAATGACACTAGCCATGTGTGTGACATATGTGACTTTTATTATGTTGAGGTATGTTCCTTCTATACCCAGTTTTTGGAGGTTTTTTTTTTTATCACGAAGGGATATTGAATTTTATCAAATATTTTTTCAGCATCAATTGGAGTGATTATTGTTTTTATCTTTCACTCTGTTGATATGATGTATCACATTGATTTGCATATGTTGGACCATTTTTGCATCCCAGGGATAAATCTTACTTGGTCATGGTGAATGATATTTCTAATGTATTGTTGAATTTCGTTTGTAGTATTTTTTTTGAGAATTTTTGCATCAATACTAATCAGAGCTATTGGCCTGTAGTTTTCTTTTTTCTGATGTGTCTTTGTCTGGTTTTGGTATCAGGGCAATACTGGCTTCAAAGAATGAGTTTGGAAGTATTCCCTGCTCCTCTATTTTTGGAAGAGTTTGAGTAAGATTGGTCTTAGTTCTTTAAATATTTGGTAGAATTCAGCAGTGAAGCCATGGGTTCCAGGCTTTTCTTGACTGGAAGACTTTTTATTATGGCTTCAATCTTGTTACTTATTATTGGTCTGTTCATGTTTTATACTTCTTCCTGGTTCAATCTTGGTAGGTTGCATGTGTCTAGGAGTTTGTCCATTTCTTCTAGGCTTTCCAATTTACTGGCATACAGTTGCTCACAGTAGCTACTAATGATCCTTTGAATTTCTGCAGTATCATTTGTATTATCTCCTTTTTCATTTCTGATTTTATTAATTTGCATCTTCTCTCTTTTTTCTTACTCTGGCTAAAGGTTTGTCAATTTTGTTTAACTTTTTAAAAACCCAACTTTTTGTTTCATTGCTCTTTTGTACTGTTTTCTTTATTTCTACTCTGATCTTTATTACTTCTTTTCTACTAATTTTGGATTTGGTTTGCTCTTGATTTTCTAATTCTTCAAGATGTATCATTAGATTATTTGAAGTTTTTCCTCTTTTTTGATGTAGACACTTATGTCCATATACTGCCCTCTTAATACTGCTCTCGCTGTATCCAGTAGGTTTTGGTATGTTGTGTTTCCATTATCATTCAGGAGCATATTGTTGCATTTCCATGTTTTTGTATGGTTTCCAAAATTCCTCTTGTTATTAATTTCCAGTTTTTTCATTCATGGTCAGATAAGATGCTTGATATGA